>NW_003315960.1:0-44225 GCF_000001405.40 Homo sapiens
AACATCAAGGTGGTTACCAAGTAATGGAGAGCCATCAGCAACACTTAGTTTTTATAAATCTCCAGTGACTGGAGTGGGCCACTGCTCTCTGCCATGATACAGCAACAGGACTTTGTTGTTATTGATTTTTGGATATTGTTTGTTTGGGGCAGTAACAGCAGCAGTAGATATTCTACATGAGGGAGTTAGAATGTATGTTATTTGGAATAAAGTAACAGGTCTTATGGTTGGAAATAAAAATGTAATCAGTAAAATAATTATTTCAGAGTCTGAAATGAACAGCCAAAAAGTGCACTTCTATCTGATTTCATGTGACTCTTGGATTCTGAAATTATCTCAACTCTGAATAATATTTTGAATTAGCCATGCTATTTAACAAACTTTACAGAGTGAAAATTATTGGCATGGTTAAAATTCTTAAGTCACAAGTCTCTGGTGGTGAATGACAGTATATTACATTGGTCAAGAGGTCCTCATAGGGAACAAAGTATTTCCTGAAAAGCATAATTTAATGTCAGCATTGGGTTGAATATGAGCATCACTCTAGGTCCTTGTGTGGTTTGTGCCAATGAGAGAAGAAGGCTATCTAGATAAGTGATATGGGAGAATGTAGAGCCCCAACCTGGAAGGAGGTGATCAAAAGTGGGGATGTAGAAAATAGTCGTGGCAACCAGGGGGATGATCCCATGGGCATAGCTAAGAGATGCATGCTCAAGATGATTAAACCCTGCTCAAGATGATTAAAAATGTGTAAAGTCTGTAAAATCCCAATATGCTTGGTGTGAGTGATTTTGGTAGCTGTTATTGAAGCTGATTAAAGGCTGAGCTTCATATTGGGTCACTGTAGTTAAAGACAATAAAATGACATCCCAAAAAATTAAGAAGCAGAGGCCAGAACATAACACAATGGAGGCTAAGTTCTAATATAGTAAACAAGTTGGGGCAAGAAAAGTTCTCCATGTAGGTTGGGATGGCTATAGAGTGGTTCCATTCATATGTCTTTCAAGATAACCTGCAGCTGGATGCATAATTGACCAATGGCCTCCACTGAAGGCTGAAACCCAGGTTGCTCCCAGCCAAAGACTGACCAGGCAGGATTACTACTAGCATTGGCCCAGTCCTGTCCAACCTGGGACCCTTCCAACAGACAACCTTGCTCAGGTATTCCCCAAAGTCTGGGGAAAAAAAAAATTTCTGAAAACTGTCTTTTTAATGTATATGCTGTAAAAAGTATGTGATATAAACAAATCCATCCAACTCTGCTTGAAAACCCCCAGTAAAATTTGCTTGGCTAAAACAATTTTAGTAAGAGAGCCATGCAAAGCAAAGTAATTCTAGGATATCCATCAATGTTAGGCTGTTGTTTTCCTTGCAAGAAATAGAGATTTATTCATATAATATCAGGCCATTCAAAGGATAACAGGGAAGACCAAAAGTTTAGGAAATTTGTGGTAATGCCAACACCCGGTTTCACATAGTCTAATGTGTGTGAAAAACAGGAATTAAAAAGGTTCAAAGGTTCAACACAGTTTCAGAATTCTATTCCTAATTTTCCTTACATCAGATTTTCTCTCTCCTCTCCTGCTTTTCTCTGTCTCCTCTCTCTCTCTCTCACACACACACACACAAATAATACTTCTAAATACTTTTGCATGTTTTATCTGTGCATATTCTTTTGTATTTTTTTCTTCTTTTACTGCCATCAGTAGATTTAAACTTTCTTTGCATTTCTCATTTTACACATTTTGAAAGCAAGAGTCTAATTGCATTGTGAATAGTTATCATTATGTTAGGCAGTTATTTTGAAATCAGGATCATTTTACAACTTTTTGTCCCAAGACATGATAGTCAATGGTAAAATATGGCCCACTAAGAGTGTAACCTCCACAGAGAATTCTAAGTGTGGCATCTGACCTTAAATTAAATGAGGAATATGGAAATATATGATACCCTTATTGAGAAAGAATGGGCATTGCTCAGTAATATACTGAATTGACAGGAATAAGCCAGTTATGCAAGATAGAGATATCTTCTGGGGCAAAGGGTAGCCAGCTTACTGACCAGAATAATAAAAATAACATCTCCTTTTGGCACAAAGCACAGTCAAGCTTAATCACCCATATAAAAAGTTCAGGGTTCTTCTGTAACACAATCCACTGTGTATGTGAGGTGTCACCTAGCCCTCTTCATGTTGCCCTATGGGAATTGCAGCTCTGATATCTGGCATGATAAAAGCCAATACTGTGGATATGACTGTTGGTGTGAGTCATAAAATCCTTTGTCTCTGACTCAGGAGTCTCTTGTCTTCTGCTTTCATGAAGCTGCAGCAGGCTAATGTGTTAACTTACACATAAGGAAAAAAAAATCTCTGTCCTTTCATAATTCTTAACAGTTCTGGTGATAAAGATGGGGTTGCTGAGAGGAACATGGATTTTTGAAAAAGGAAGGAAGGATGAGGACCTCATGAGCTGATTAACATGATATGAGGAAAGTCCATAAGAATTAATAAACATATTGACTAAAATATATGGTCAATCAAGTAATATGTCATCCTTCTGTCAGTTATTGGAGGTATGGTTGCAGGCTGAACCTACCAAGAAGTAGGTTCAGAGACAAATGCCTGAACATTGCCTGGCCTGCTGCTAACTCCCTTTCAGGGGTTCAGTCAGCCTTGCATCTACCCATTTTAACAACCAGTACTAAGATTTGTCCTGGGAAGCCAAAAGTTTCCAATTCCTTTCAGAAAAAAAAAAAAAAAGGTTAAATAGCTGAGCACCTATATTGAGAGAGAATAGATGGAAACTTGTAGCCTATGGGCATAACACAAATACATTATTAGATCAATTGTGAGGTGAGAGAGTGAGCGGCTTCACCCTTGTTATGCTTCCATAACATCGGCAACAGCTGGGCAGTCTTATAGCTCAGCCACTCCTGCAATCTATGACGTCAACCTTCGATCTTTTTGATAATGACAGTAAAACATCTGAGTTGTTTCTGTTTGTTTGTTTGTTTTTAAGTGATTCCTGGAAACTACCTGTAAACTTCAGCTTTCTCAGGAAGATTTCTCAGAAACAGATTAATTCCCATGTAAAGTCGTTGATGATGCATTGAGTAGTGTACTGGCATTTAGTGCCCTAGATGGTGTTTACAGTGCTGATGAAGGTGGACCATTAGCAAATGAAACATGAAACCCCCAAAATATAAATTTTTGCAGTCAACCTGATTACTCGGGGAAACTTACCTTGCACTTAAATTGAAACCAGGCATGAATTTATGAGATATCATCAAGCTAATGGAGAGCAAATGCCTCAGATTAAGGTGGGCTCCCCCAAGAAGTTGGTGAGAGCCAAGCTCACAGTGGCCAGAAAGAGCAAACCCTCTAATACTAGAAAGAAAGCGCTATGTCTTTGGCTGGAACAGCTGGGTAAAGAGACTCCTGAGGGAAAAATACACAATGTCTAGAATGATGACATTGCCACCTACCTCCCCATTATGTATATCTTTGGGTGCAACACATGCATTTGAATATTGCTTGGTTGAACTGCAAGCAGACATCTTGCTGCTAACAAATGAAAGTAAATCTGTGTAGCTCACTAGACAGAGATGCTCTCTCCTTCTCTGCCCTAACCCCTTCCTCCTTCTGCATTCCTACCTCAGCAACTTAAAGGGGCTAGATGATTAAAGATGGATCTAAGATCTCACTGTGCCAACCAGGAACTAAAGGTCATATACTTCTGTCCCCTGAGCTGGGTTATCTAAGAGGGGGGAAGAAATGAAACCTTTACGGCTTTGTTGGTTCCACATGTACAAGTCATCTTTCTACTTGGTGTCATTGGGGCTGAGATCACATGCATTCAGTTTACTAGAGCTGGCAGTCTTCACGATGAGGACAGAATCCAATATGACCTTTTGGATGCAACTCTTCAGGCTGATTCAATGTAGTTTTGGCTTCTACATGTAAATATATAGTAGGAATTGAAGCATTATGGGCTTGTACTTCTGCATCTCATAGTTTGGATAAAAGAATAGATTTTGTGTTCTATAATCATTCTATTACATTATGCTAACAAAAACCATTTGTCCAGGAAAGGTCTCCCTTTCCTGATGAATTATACAGATATGGATATAGATATATTCTCCAACCTAATACAAAATAAAATAGTTTTCATTTATTTGAAAAAGGAAAAAAAATACATTACATATGTTCTCCAACCCAGTAAAAGATCAGCCTCAAAATGGAAAAGGAACAATAAAAGTTAGATTAACTTAAAGATTTTTGTTAGCTAGTTAGATTTTGTTAGCTTTTTCAATACCTAAATATGTCTTTTTCAAAAACAAAACTAAAAGGCAATCCCTCGAATCTGTTGTGTGACAAAAGTCTTCAGATTTTCTGTTGGTTCATAATAGAGTGAATTAGGTTGTCAAAATATAGCTGGCAGATCAATAAATGTTCAATAACTATAAGGAAAAGGAGGTATAGGCTAGTGGGGAATAATTTATTTAGGTATCTGTTATGCTAGCAGAGCTCATGATCATTCTGCAAATGTGGCATCACTTACTGCAGTAAGCCATTCCTTACACATTACTGAGGTTTGGTGTCTTTCCTCAGTGCTCCCATATGCCTTGTTTACGAATTTACTATTCTGCATTATGATGGCATTTCTCCTTAAACAAACAGTAAGTTTCTTAAAGGCAGGGATTTTATCTTATTATTCTTTGCCACATACCAAGGTTACCACAGCAAGTTACTCATTTTATTTTCTAGACGAATACATAAATGAATATATTAGGAGAAATGCATCCTAAACCCCCTTGGAAAAAAAATCATTTGCCAGAATTGTTGAACTACTACTTCCTTTATGGTCTGTTAAATCAGTATCAGATGGGTCCTCATATATAGGAAATACTTCATATATATGTTAATACAGAACAACAGTGGTATCCCGAAAAGATACCATTACTAAGCTTGGCTTTTTTTTAAAAGTAAATGTAATAAAAATTCAATAGGTTTGTTTGGATTTGCCTTCATGAAATAAGCAAAACTCTGTTTAGCTGTCAGTAAAAATGATGTTCGGCAAGTCTTTGTAGACCACATGCTTGAGCCTTTTCTTGTTACATTTTGAAGTAGAAAGCTTGCTCCTTGTCACCTTCAATTTGACATTTTACAGGAACTAGAAACATAAGTCATGTAGAGAAACATGTTACATATTGTTTTTTCCCCTCTAGCTGACCACCAATAATCTTAAATGTCAACAACGTCAGATTTCAATTTTGTTCACTGAATCACCACACTGTGGATTGAAAAACTGATCTCTACCACTTTTATTGTTCTAAATGTTTCCTATGTGGTGATTAAAAGAAAAAGAAAAACATTTGACTGGCTTGGCAGATGGTTTTATATTACCTCTGTTTAAATATAATACTTTAAACTTCTTATTGAATCAGGCAAATGGAATGGAGCATTCGCCTGCTTCATAAAATATGTTTAAACTAAGAAGGAAGTCAGCTCTCTGGATTGGCTTGCAGCTGTTACTTACCTTTTTTTGTTGTTGTGGGGGTGGTAAGGTGCCTACTATGTGAAGTATATTATATGAGTTGTGGATTGGTTACAAAAATGAATGACACGAATATCTGTTTTGACAGATTTTAATTCACCATATTCATAAAAAAATAAGAATTTCACTGGGTGTGGTGGCTCACGCCTGTAATCCCAGCACTTTGGGAGGCTGAGGTGGGCAGATCACGAGGTCAGGAGATCGAAACCATCCTGACTAACACGGTGAAACTCCGTCTGTACTAAAAAAATACAAAAAAATTAGCCAGGCGTGGTGGCGGGTGCCTGTAGTCCCAGCTACTCCGGAGGCTGAGGCAGGAGAATGGCCTGAACCTGGGAGGCGGAGCTTGCAGTGAGCCAAGATCGCGCCACTGCACACTAGCCTGGGGGACAGAGCGAGACTCCATCTCAAAAATAATAATAGTAACAATAATAATAAGAATTGCTTTTCCAAACATGTTGATGTTTACTGTGGGAGCATATTGTTATTTACAAGTTCATTTTACTTTATTATTTATTTATTTATTTATTTTTTGAGACAGAGTCTCGCTCTGATGCCCAGGCTGGAGTGCAGTGGTGTGATCTTGGCTCACTGCAACCTCCACCTGCCGGGTTCAAGCAATTCTCCTGCCTCATCCTCCTGAATAGCTGGGATTACAGGTGCCCACACCACGCCTGGCTAATTTTTGGATTTTTAGCAGAGACGGGGTTTCACCATGTTGGCCAGACTGGTCTCAAACTCCTGACCTCAGATGACCGCCCAACTCAGCCTCCCAAAGTGCTGGGATTACAGGCATGAGCCACCATGCCCAGCCATGAGTTCATTTTAAAAATACAAGATATCATTTTGTATGCATTTAATTTGCAAGCTTTACCTTAATCATATGTTCTACCAAATATTTACTAATATCAACAACATTTATATCCAACAATTTATATCCATTGTTGGATATAAATGTTCACATTTCATATCCAGTAACTGAAATGCATAATCAGATTTAGCTACGATGGAATGTCTGTTGATTCACTAGACCAGGCATGGAAAATTTTCTAGAGAGAGATATTTGTGACCTAAGCCCCCTACCCAGAAACTGTACCTCTAAGTTGCTATAGAATCACCAGATAGCAGTAGAATCCTGAAAGAGAGAATTCAACAGAAATGTCAAGAAAACAAGAAATATAGCCTCATTTATAAAAATAGAAATCTTGTAATGAAAATAGTAATTAATTAGAAGAAGAGAGAGATTAATGAATTTGGGAACCAAACTACTATATTACAAAGTTAATTGGTATTAAAATAGAAAAATATTGTAAAGCTGTTTCATTTGTCCATGTATTCAATACACATGTATTGAACACATAATAGGTTTTCAGACACCTCTCTAGGCCCTGGGGAAAATAAGAGCGAGGCAGAGATGCCTCCTGTCCACATAAATTTACATTTCAGAGTGCATGGGAGGGTCTGGCTGTGTGTGTGTGTATGGGGGGGGGCATTCATTTATTTTTAATTATTGAAGTAATTAGTAATTGTAATTAATGCTGCAAAGGAAATGAACAGAGTACTTGATGAAACATAGCAATGAGGGCTCTCATCTCTGTGTATGATGTTCAATCTGAGCCCTGAAAAAAAGGAAAGGAATGAGCAGATAAAGGGCAATGAAAGCACACCCCACCAAGAGTGTTTTCACAGATCAGGAAGAAACAGGCCATGTGCTAGTGTGTATGTATATATATATATATATATATATATATATATATATATATATATATATATATAAAATTCTTTTCATATTTTTTAAAGATGGAGTCTCACTCTGTCGCCCAGGCTGGAGTGCAGTGGCACCATCTCTTGGCTCACTGCAACCTCTGACTCCCAGGTTCAAGCGATTCTCCTGCCCCAGCTTCGGAGTAGCTGGGACTATAGGCATGCACCACCATGCCAAGCTAATTTTTGTATTTTTAGTAGAGATGGGGTTTCGCCATGTTGGCCAGGCTGGTCTCAAACTCCTGGTCTCAAGTGATCCACCCGCCTCAGTCTCCCAAAGTATTGGGATTACAGGCATGTGCCACTGTGCCCGGCCAGTATTCTGATATTTAATAAGAGAGACACCTGCTTTTCAAGAATCTCAATGCTTCACATTACAAGATGACTCCTAACTAATCTAGGCCATTAGACCATTTTTTAATGAAGAAGACAAAAAGTAGTTTCACAACTGACAGTAGAGGGGATAAAAATGATTTGTTGAGGCAGGAGAATCGCTTGAACCCAGGAGGTGGAGGTTTCAGTGAGCCGAGATCGCACCACTGCACTCCAGCCTGGGCATCACAGCAAGACTCTGTCTCAAAAAAAAAAAAAAAAATTGTTTAGCAGTTCATACAGTGTTCCTGGTGTCCTTGCGTTTTGGAAATGCATAACTAGCCTATGCTCATTGTGAGGCGCTTTTCTGTCACCAGTAATCTCAAAGTCCACAGATGTCATCTGTGGGATTCCATCAAGGATGAGCTCCTCCTCATCACTTAAAACAGCCATATCTCTATGTCACTGCTACCATGCTACTCAACCGATGTTTAGCACACAAAATACACCCGTTACCATACAGAAGCCTCTCTCTGAATTAAAATTTCCCTTTGCCCCTGATAATTTATTGACTGTCATGCACAGCTATGAGATGCTATTTCTCTAGAATAAGTGTTAGGGCATCGCTACATTGAAACTCCCTTATATTTTTTGCACTGCAGCACTCAAGCATTGATTGATAACTAGATATGGAACATGGTAGTTTGGCACAGAAGTATTAAAAGCAGTATCAAGAGCTAAATACATTTGAGGTTAAGAATGAATACCATTTGAGGTGAAGAATAAAGTTTTAGACACTCTTTTACTACCACATAACAATACCAAAATAAGAAAATTTAATCAAGAATTAAAAGAAGGGGAAAAGAAATATAAGAAAAGGGAAATATAAGAAAAGGAAAATATATGTTAATTTATGAGATAAAAGTGTTTACACTCAACTTAGAACAAATCACAAAAAGTAATCGTCACTGGTGTCACTGCCTTGTCACCCATGTGCATATGTTTCCATGGCAATACCATCTATAAAGTTAATCTATCAGCATTTTTCATGGCACTATCTTGTCCTGTGAGCCCTTAGAGAGATCAAGGTGGCACTAATATAATTAAATGTAAGAGCTATTTCACGGAGCATCTAGGGATACAGGTGTAGGTATCCTAGGTGTGCCATTTATCCCTGAGTTTATGAATAGAGACGTTACCATCATGGAAGAAAAAATGTGTCTGTGTTTGTGTGTGTGTGTGTGTGTACGTGTGTATGTAAGAACACACTGCGCACACACATGCACACATATGTTTGAGTGGGTATATTTTTCCTGAAACAATCTATGTATTGATCAAATTAAACATTTTTATTCCCATGATTTATGTAAAGAAATGGCTGCCTATTAATTAAAAAACAAAACAAAACAAAAAACAAAGAAGGAACTAGTGGCACCAACTACCCAGGTTTTTATTTTATACCCTTGATTCTAGATTCAGGTATTATACTTTAAGTATTTCATAAGATGCTAATAACATCTTTAGGACCAAGGCTTGGAGGTTATTCAAAATGAAAAATTAAAAAAAAACCAAATACTTTAGTTAGTGCTCAAGGTCTTATACAAACAAGCAGAGTGTTCACGGCAGCAAATGTCACTCTATGTCATCAGCATTCCATCCACATATGGGATCATCCCTCCATCCCGCCCCAGTCCTATTTTCAGAAGCACAGGCGAAACGTTGTTGTCAAACAGTTTTACAACAAGAACAGGATGTATCAGTTCACATTGACTTATTTACTCCCAAAATTCCCATTTTAGACACCAGACACAAATTAGCTCAACTGTGTTTTCTACACTAGGAAGATAAAGTTTAATGACACTGAGAACAAAACAATTTGTGATTAGCTTCTGAATAATTTGTACTGGGTTGTAACTATTTTCTATTATAATAACTAAAACTAAGGTTCAGATTCTATTTTGTTCTCCTTTTTGTACTTATCAGAATAAGATAATACAAACTGAACTTTAAGAAATTCTCAATGTATCATTTATTAATTTGGAATTAAAAACAATTTAAAGATAATGCAGTCAACTTAAAGAAAAAATAGTGGGAAGAGGTGGGTACCTGGTATTTTTTGAAATAATGATAATATAGTTACATCACTAAAAAGAGAATGCTGACCAGGCAGGTAACAGCAAGGCCAGGAATGAAGAAATTATTCTAGATTTTCTGAACAATAAGGAATTAATTCCTTGAGAATGCCGCCATCCGAAGAAATTGGCTGTATATTCCTCAATTACAAAGCTGATAATACAAATTTCAGAAAGACAATCTGATTAACATTTCTACCAAAAGTAAAAGCAATGTGAAAAAGAGTCATGAAGGAAAAGCAAGGTGTTAACCACGACGAGAATAAAACATGAAGGAAACTGATGTCTAACCAATGCCTTAATTCCTTGTTACATGTCATGAAACTTTTAAAATAGGGGTATCCGAAAGTTTAAGGGTTTAACTTTAATGTGAATCATATCCCTTTTGTATATTTTTTAAATTAAGTTACAAATGTTCAAGAGATTATGAAGTGAGAAAAAAAGAAAGCTATTTATTCATACTCAGTTTATTTTCTTTAAAAAATATATAACATAATACGATAGTAGATGGGATTCAATAGCAGATAGGATTCGGGACATCAAAATTCAAGAATTTATGTCCCATTATCAAAAGCTGTGAAGGGTTTCTGAAGGGTGTGGGTGTTTATCTACTTGCAAGCTAACAGGTCAGCCTGCTAAAGTTTCATGGCTGCTGATCAAAGACATGGGACCACCACCGGGTCAGAGGTTAAGGCTAGTTTAATACAGCGGAAGTATTAGGCAGAATATCAGCATTTGCACTATTTCCCTGAATTCAGCTCTGGCGGAGTAAAGCAAATAGGTTCACATGATATCCTCACCACCCAGTGAGTTGTGTCACAGCACAAGAACCCTGCATTTAGAGAATCCAAATCTTATAATCAGCAAAAAGTATGTCTGACCTTTGTTCTGGAGGAAAACATTATCTTTATTACACTGGACAGCAAACAAGCCTGTCCTTTACTCTGGAGGGAAACACTATCTCTATCTTCCAAGGCTGTTTGCTATACAAAGATGATTAAAAGGTAATCCAGAACAAAAGCAGTCAGTACTTCTTTTTGCAAGACTACAGTTAATTGAGACACCCATGGAGAATGGTCTCCCAACATTCATTTCCTAAAACTTCTTCAGTCTTGAAAGTGGGATCTTCCTTTCTCCTCTCTATTCCTATAGCATCCTATACATACCCTAATCAAGTAAACCTTACACACTCTGTTGCAATTTCCTGTTTCTATGATGTTAAACAAAAATTATAGAGGTCATTATTTGCACTCAGTCCTTACACTAAGCCCCGACAGAGCTGACCAAACCAAAATGGAGTCACTCATGCTAAATGCCACATAATCAGAGATTATAAGGAAGCAGATAGACCCTGAAACGGATCAGCTTTTCTTAAAAACAGGCGAATACAGTCTACCGGAGTGAGCATAATGAAGAAGCCCCCTCTGCTTTAATTCTTACAAAAAAGTAACCTAAAGTAATCTAACTTCACCAATTGGGGGTTTTTATTACTATTATTGTTCTGTTTACTTGTTTCCACCTTACAAAAGCCACTGCTCTGCTATTGCCCAGTGGGAGCTTTCACTGTATTTTGTAAAAGCCAATTCGATTTGTAACTAAATGTGTTGTAACTTTGTCTTTTGACATTGGTTAAAAACAGCTATCACTATTACTACAACTTATCACTCATACCTATCTTCATTATTTTCAGCAAATATTCTAATATAAAGTAACCCCTGCAAATATTTTTGTGTGAATTAATAAAATAATGATTGATGGGGTAATACTTGGCAGAAAAGCAAAATAAAACAAAACAATGCCTACATAAACTGGCATTATCCACAGGCAAAAAGGGAATCACTTTTCAAAAGGAAATCTTGGTTACTAACAGAAATTTAAACTATAAATTTTGGATAGTGTCAATAGGTATATTTTTAGTAGATAGTCTTCAGTGATAAAAGACAACCACCATTTTCAATCTCTTTTGATTACAAATATATTAGAAAAGTCTGTGTCCAAAGATGCAAAAGTCTTCAAAGGCAACATTCGACTTCAAAGCAGCACACAATGCACTCATAGAGGGTGGCTTCTTGAAGGGTTTTTCCAGTCTTGCCTGAGTTTTTGTAATATAAAACCAGTCTTTTAAAGTTAGTGCATAAAAAGACAAAGTCTCAGAAAAGAATATAGGCTTTGAAATGCCTCACAAAAGTATTATAATGCTATGCTAGTGGACTATAAAATAGAACTTTCCTGCAAAACTTCTTAAATAAAAAAATGATTTCAAAAACTTTGGTGAAAAATTTCAGTAACATCATTTGTTTTTTCTTCCTTTTAGTTTTTAAATACCACAGCAGAAATAGCAAGGCTACTAACACCAGCAAGTTTCTACACTGCAAAACTTTGTCAGCAGTAGCCAATCAATGTACTTGAACATCCAAGAGACTTCAGCATATTCCCCAGAGTAAAAGAGCAAGCAGGGCCACGTGTTTATAAATAAAAATTGCCATTAGCATATTAGTACAATGATAGATTAATTTCATTTTCTATGGTTAAACATATCTACCTCTGCAATATTATATTTCCTTATCAATGGCATTTGTCTAAATATTGTACTAGTTATAGCCAAAGATAGAACAATGGCTTAGGGTATTGGGGAGCTTCTTTTCCAGTATCAATTGTTATTGGAATGTATAAAAATTGTGCATAATAATTGAAATAATTGTCACCACAAAACTGCACTAACATACAATACAGAAAATGGAGGAGAGTACATTTGTGAACATTCCCATGCAAATGTACAAAAGTGGTTAGCAAGGACATCCTTGATTTGCTCATAATACACTCATTCCTTTCACCATTGAGTGTGCACATATTTCTCTGATTGGAAAGAACTACAGAGGAGGTTTTACTTTTTACTTTCCAGTTTGCTATTAAAGAGAGAAAACTAACAGAGAGAAATCAAGCAACTCAAAACAACCTTACACACACACACACACACACACTCACAAAGATATTTTGTTCACCATATGTATTGATGTGCCTGTTTTCAGTCAATCCACAGGAAGGGCTAAGGAGAGTGACATCTGGGCTACATTAAAAGAACAGTCACATTGCTCAAAGAACTCAAGTTTAGCCCGAGTACAGTAGCTCATGCCTGTAATCCCAGCCCTTTGGGAGGCCGAGGTGGGTGGATCATGAGGTCAGGAGTTCGAGACAAGTATGACTAATATGGTGAAATCTCGTCTTTACTAAAAATACAAAAATTAGCCGGGTGTGGTGGTGCGCACCTGTAATCCCAGCTACTCAGGAGGCTGAGGCAGGAGAATCACTTGAACCAGGGTGGTGGAAGGTTGCAGTGATCCGAGATCTTTTACACCACTGCACTCCAGCCTGGGCGACAGAGTAAGACTCCATCTCAAAAAAAATAAAAAGTAAAAATAAAGAACTCAAGTTTAAGTTTTAATTTGTGCTAAAATCTTCCAAGGAGTCTAAGTCTGAGAGCCAAAAGGATATAACTGCAGAATAAACCTCTGCTCCCACAGACATGCTTGTCTCTAGATCAGTATGAGACACCAGGCCTGACTTCTCCAATATCTCTGTCTCAGCTGTTATCTAAATATCTTATCCAGTGGCTTTTCCAGAGTCTCCACCAGTTTGTCCTCATATCCACAATACATTCTCTTGCATTTAACCTAGCATTCTCAGATTCAGTAACTCCTTTGTCCTCTCACCACTTCCCAAGAACTATCCTTTAAAGCAAATTCAGCCACTTTTCAGCTTGGCTGTTCCCTCCACATGTTCAAAGAGAATTGATATTGAGACATTATGATTCTGTGGTATGCTTTCTAGCCAGATATAACAGCAGACTTCATTTTCCCTTTGTCTTTGCATAAGTGTGCAACGGATCTTAACAGTGTTTGTCAAGTTTTTTTGTTCTGATTTTTCAAGCTGAGTATTGGCAACAGGTACACCATATAGGCTTGCTTTTTGTTCAAGTATGAATGTGCCTTTTTCCCCAATGTTAAGTTATTTATTGACATTACCAGCAGCTTAATGGTAAGAAGTAAAATATAAAGATGTGAAAATGGTTGATGGAATATTGTTACCAAAATGGCAAGGTTCTGATGCTCACTGCACAGGGAGCCAATCACTGAGATAATGAGTATTTCCAGGCAGGAAGGCTTTAACTGGGTGCTTCAGCTGAGGAGAGCAGATCAGTCTCAAATTGGTCTCCTGACAGACTAAAATTAGGGGTTTATATAACAGGGAAGAAACGTAACCATGTGTGGGAAAACAGGAACTGGGGAGGGGTTAGAAAGAAGAGTGGATCAATAGGAAGCAGTTGGGCGCTTTGGCCATCATGATGGGTAAGGGGTCTGGTTTCTCATTGTCCATATGCGGTGATCTGGTGAGTTTCAGCTCTTTGATATTATCTGGGAGGGCTGATGGTTGGTTTCCTGAGAAAGGAACTCAGATGAGACAAAGGTAACTTTCTCAAATTTCAAGACTGGGAGGGTCAATTTCTGTGTTTATTCAAAAGAAACCATAAACATTAGTTTTATGGAACAATTGGGCCAGTTTAAATATCATTCCCATTACGTAGGGGATGAAAACCTTGGCCTCGTCCATTTCTTTGCGTAAACTTTCCAACACAGTTCAAGGTTTCCATTCCACCAAGAATCATTATAATTATCATTACTGTCATAAAGTTAAGTGTAACATCTTTACTTCCAGAACCATAAATCCTTATTAATAATAATAGCAGCAGTTGGTCAAGCTAATATAATATTTTAAAATATACTTTTACTCATTTAGTTTGCATGCATGCCCAAGTTTAGAGATTCTACATAATCATTGTCACTGCTTATCAAAGTTATAAATTAAAAACAAACAGGATAGCAAATAAGTTGTGTATTTCTGTTTCCTCACTCCTCATCAGTATTTTTATACCATTCAAAGAATATGGTATTATTTTCTTAATCTAAATATTGCTTGTGTGTTTTCCAGGAGTAAAGAATAGATTTTGTATTTTTTTTCAGGGATCCTGAAAACACATTGAAATAGAAAGTCTATGGGGAAAGTTGTCTTCTGCCTTCAAAATGTGCCTAGGCAAGTCTGTGTTGGAAGCTAGGTTATATTCAAGGACACAGCATCACCTGGAGTTGCTTTGATGTCAGAGGCCAAGTTAGATGTCCTCACACAGTCGTGAGTAGCCTGTGATCACCAGATCACAGATCTTCCAAATGGATTTGGGGAGTAATTTTTCTTTTGTTTGAGGATTCGTGACTGCTCTAAAGGGAAAATTTTAGGGTATAAACTGGGGAGCTTATACCTATGTGATTCACTGTGAAGAATCAGGCTAGACCAAAACCTTTCATTATTTTTGCACTCAATACGGTTACCAGCTAATCTTACATAGGGACTCAGAAGATAAATAATGAACCATCTGGTGGCAGACATAAATGTTTTTAATGGAAATATCATTTCTATGTAATAATAAGAAACAATGCTTTGTTTTCTTTTGCTTGTTTCGGTTTTGGTGGTTAATGTTTTCTTGAGAATCTGTTGTTGCAAAATAACTTCAATAAAAAATTGTGTGCCTAAGTATAATGAGATTATTCCAAAGTAAAGACTACACTTAGACATTGGGGGGCAATAATTAGAAAGTGGAACATAGAAAACTATAAACATTTTCATGTAGAACTGTAAGTTTCTCTCGAAACTGGATTTGAATATAAGTAAGCCAAATATAGTGAATGTTTTACTGCATGATGCTACCACCAGCAAGATTTAGAAACTGCTGCATTTAATTATTGTTGGTTTTTCTTTGAGAGAAAAGTATGTTTTCTCCTAAGAGAATAACAAAACACACACATAAAAATGTACAAACAAAAACCTAATACTATCTTGTCTCTGTCATAGGAACACATGCACACACACTTTTAAATAGTATATAAGTAAATGCATAAATGCATACATAGACATATGAATACATAATACCTACATAAATACATATACATACATTTATACTACATAACATAGGTAATTCACAAAAAAGAATAAAAACTGATTTTGATTCTTATTGTCTTATAAAATAAATTAAGCAAATACACACAAACACACACACCAGAGGAAGAGATATATAAGTCAAATTGGCAGTGTAGGACCACAGCTATAATTGGGACACGCTTATGAAAATGAAGGAGCAGAGTGACAGAAGCCAGATTTCAAGAAAGATTTTATTATAAAGCAAGGAATTGGCTGCAGTGAGGAAGAATGAGCAATAAACCTTGTGGAACAATGGGCAGTCTGATATATTCACAACCTGGCTACTGCTATTTGAACCCTTTCCAACACAGTCGCCTCAGAAGTGTGTATGCATCTTGGGAAAATAGATAAAGGCAAATCTAAAATAACTGCCTCACTATGATGTCTGACACCACACAGCTCAATACCCTCACTGTGGAACTCTTTCAATAGAGAGACATAGAGAAAGATAATTATTCTCCTCCTCAATTTGCCATAGCTCTGGTCAGTCTGTGATGTCATGGGGATGGAAAGTCTTGGTAGGCATAATTGTCAGCAGGGATCTGAACCTATATTTATATCTTTTGCTCAGAACTGTGGAATCAAACAACAGCCTGGTGTCGGGAATTAAACAGCAGACAGGTAGCAACAGGTAATCACCTGCTCTGATGCTAGAGGTCATATGGGATTCCCAGAAGCATTGGTAGGGAGAACTTTGAAAATTGCCATTATCCAATGCAATCTGCTTATTAATTTTAATTGGACTTGGTTAGTTCCTGGAGACTAGTGAAACCTGACTGTTTATGAAGAAGTATTTATGACAGTGCAGAAAGCTACAAGTAGAGCCCAAAGCCTAATGATTTTCTCTCAGAAATTACTGTCTTTAAAAAATGACTCTGTAATATAAAAGGTGTAATAATGGCATAATATATAAATTTTCAAAGTTTTATCAAAGTCACTTTGGTGTGTTTTAGTATAGTAGTCTCTTCTTTTAAAACGAAAATGAAACAAGATTAGGAAGTTATGTGAGAACCAAAGCAAATGATAGATAGAATCTTTTTACTGAAGATTCACTGTTATGTTATGTTAATAGGGTTGTGGCTTAACCATCTTTCATATATTAAGGAACAATACTACTTAAATCCTATCACTTTGAAATGAATAAATTATGAAACCTTATCATTATAAATTAGAAAAAAACATTAATATGAACATAAATTTAAATGAGCATCAAAAATTCACTAAAAAAGAAACCACTTTCAAAGAATAGTTCGCTTTCTTCTTTTCTAAGATTTCAAAAATCAGAAATTCTAGAAACTCCCTAGGTGTTTTTATCTGAGGAGACTGGCATAATTGAGATGTGTAAAAATGTAAACACAACAAAAATACAACTTTCATGTATGCACACACACACACACACATGCACACACACAAATAAACATCAACCCTGACATTCTTTTTTTCATTTTTAAAATTCTGTTAGAATATGAATAACATAAAACTTACCGTCTTAACCATTTTAAGTGTACAGTTCAGTTGTATTAAATACATTTATAATGTTGTGCAAGCATTACCACCATCGATCTTCATCTATTTTCAACTTGAAAAATTAAATTCTATACTCATTAAATACCAACTTTCCAGTACTCCAATCCCTTATGCCCTGGAAACCACCATTCTACTTTTCTTCTGTATGATTTTGACTATTCCCCTCTTATCTGTGGAGGATCTGTTCCAAGCTCCCCAGTGGATGTCTGAAACTAAGCATAGTACTGAAGCCAATATATAATGTTTTTCCTATACATACATATTTATGATAGAGTTTAATTTATAAATTAGGAACCATAAGAGATTAACAACAATTACTAGTAATAAAATTGACCACCTGAGTTAAACGGATTACTCGAATGCAAGCATTGTGATACTGTGACAGCTGATCTACTTGAGTGGGGAAAGCAGCATAAAAGATAGCTATTGGGTACTGGACTTAATACCTGGGTATTAATGAAATAATATGTACAACAAACCCCTGTGACACACGTTTACCTCTGTAACAAACCTTCACATGTACCCCCAACCTAAAATAAAAGTTAAAAAAAAGGACGGTTGAACTGATAACCAAGATGGCTGCTAAGTGACTAACTAATGGGTGTAGGTAGCATATACAGGGTGGACAAAGACATGATTTGGATCCCAGGAAGAAGGGAACAAGATGATGCAAGATTTGATCAGGCTACTCAGAACCATGTGCAACTTAAAACTTATTCTGGAACTATCTGATATGTTTTGGCAGTATCCCCACCCAAATCTCACCTTGAATTGTCATGATCCCCATGTATTAAGCACCGGGCCACGTGGAGATAATTGGATCATGGGAGTAGTTTCCCCCATACTGTTCTTGCGGTAGTGAATAAGTCTCATGAGATCTGATGGTTTTATAAATGGGAGTTCTCCTGCATAAGTTCTCTTGCCTGCCACCATGTAAAACGTGACTTTGCTACTCCTTTGCCTTCTGCCATGATTATGAGGCCTCCCCAGCCATGTGGAAGTGTTAGTTGATTAAACTTTGCTTTATCAATTATCCAGTCTTGGGTATGTCTTTGTTGCCAGCATGAGAACAGACTAATACACTATGAATTTAACATTTTCAGGTCGTAGTTGACCACAGGTAAACAAAACCTCTGAAAGTACAACCACAGATAAGGGGGGATAACTGTCTTCTAATAACTTCACATCAGTGAAATCATAAAGTATTTGTTCTTCTGTGACTGGCTTGTTTTGCTAAGCATAATGTCCTCAAGGTTCATCCATGTTGTAGTGTGTGTCAGAATTTCCTTCCTTTAAAGGATGCATAATATTTTATTGTATGTATATATCACATTTTTGCTTTTTCATTCATATTTTCACTTCTGCATTTAGGTCAGAAAAGACTGAGATTAGAACTTGCAAGAACAAATTTAAATAGATAAAAGATTTATTTTAATTTTTGATAAAAATATTCCTTAGGAATGCTAAATATGAAACAAGGGATGTGTTGTTGTTTTGCTCATTTATTGGCACTGTTGTTGGGATGCTGCTACCTGTGTTTATTTTGTGATATTAGATTTATAAAAAGCATTATATAGTATTGATGTGTCCACAGTGATTTATAAGAAAAAAAGAAACTGAATAGAACACCAGCTCTCTCACCCAAGTTGACCAAAACTTTGTGTGGGGCCATTGAGGATGCCCTTCATAGACTGATATTCTTTCTTTATGGAATAGTAGATAATGCACATTCTTCACATGAATAGGAGGACAGGAACTGTTTCAGAAAGTGGATAAAAGGTTACAGAAATGTGCCTTGGTAAATAGAAGTGTAGTGATCTGTCCAAAAGTGAGAAGGAAATGAGAATCTAGACTGGGGAAGGCTCTCAATCTCTCTCCCACTGGAGAGAAGTACGGAAAGCTCTTCAGAGATTATTGTGAAATTGTCTTCTGTTCTTTGTCACAGAAGTAATACTACATCTAGAACTGTATCAAGAGCTCAAGCAGTATTTATATTTGTTAATAAATGAATAAATGAATACCAAGTTGACATTATATGTAATGTAGTATTACATAATGAATAGCAAACATATATTATATATATACACAACATAGTATATACAGACTGTATAGCATATACATGTATCTATAGTATTAAAGATCTTGTAAAGTTGATATTTTTCAGTTAAATCTATTTAAATTGAATTTATTCCAAGATTTCTAGAAACAACTGACCCATCTGAAAAAGTACCATAATACTATTCATTATAAATTACTAACGCCTAGGAAGAAGATTTTAATTTCCATTATATCCTATATATCTTCCAGATTTTTTGTAATTATTACTTCTATGACATTAACATCCTTTCATAATGTTATATGAAGCATAATAATATAAAAGGCCAGAACTAGTAGAGTCCACAAAGATCTCGTCCAAACCCTTAATTAACAGTGAAGAAAGTTACATGTCTAAAAAGACCAAATTGTGCAACTGAGTTAAGAATATCAGTAATAATAATGAAGAAAAAAACAAGCAGGAAGAAAACGAGGAGGGAATATTTGTGGACAGTACACGCTACATACGGCAGCATTTGCTAAGAACAGCATTTCTAAGTTCTCCTAATTTTTCAACTACATTAAAAACACTGAATTTTTAAGAAATATTCAGACATGTTCTATTAATAATCTTACAAAGACATTCCTTTAAAAAAGAGGTCTTCATTTCATTAGAGAAATTAGAGATTTCATTTCTTGCTTCTATTTGTATTCTGCAACAATGCTATCTAACCTGCAGAGAAAGGAGCATCATTAAGATATTACCAAATGCAGATTCTTTATGTATTTTGTTAGGATGAAGTTTTCCCCACTTCCTCATGCAACTCCAACAGTAGTCATGAAGCAACCTGAAAGACTACTACATTCTTTTTCATCTGTGCTGCCTAAAGGTTTCTGTTTTATTGCTGTTTTGTTTCTAGCCTATTAACCTGCAATTCATTACCTACTATTCTTGTTTATATTTATATTTGCAGTTGCTCCTTGAACAATGTGGGGTTAAGGGTGCTGATCACCCCCTTATGCAGTTCAACATCTGTGTATAAATTTTGAGTTCCCAAAAACTTAACTACTCATAGCCTACTGTTTACTGGAAGCCTTACCAACAAAACACACAGTTAATTGACACATATATTGTATGCTATATGTGTTATCTATTGTATTCTTACAATAAAGTAAACATTCTTTTCTCTATCAAAAGTTTAGGGGAAAGAAAATGTTATCAAGAAAACCATAAGGAAAAGAAAATATATTTACTATTCATTAAGTGGAAGTGGATCATCATAAAAGCCTTCATTCTCTTCGCCATGTTGAGTGAGCTGAGGAGGAGGCTGAAGAGGAGGGGTTGGTGTTGCTGTCTCAGGGGTAGCAAAGGTGGAAGATCTGCATAGGAGTGGACCTGCACAGCTCAATCCTGTGTTGATCAAAGGTCAACTGTACTTTGCATTATGTTTGCTTATATTTACTTTAAAATTTTCTATTAGTTTGAATCCAAGTTTAGTTGCTGATGAAAGGACTCAAATATAGTGATTTCAGAAACCAGGTTTATTCTCAAGTAAAGGAAGTTCAGTGGTAGCTGGTCAAAAGCTGATATTGAAGGAAAACTGTGAAGTCACTAACCAAGGAATTTTCTTTCTCTTTTTTAAATTTTTATTTCTATTTTAAGTTGTGGGGTACATGTGCAGGACGTCCAGGTTTGTTACATAGGTAAACGTGTGCCAGATTTGCTGCACCTATCAAACCATCACCTAGATATTAAGTTCAGCATGCATTAGCTATTTTTCCTAATGCTCTTCCTCCTCCCACCCCAACCCCTGACAGGCCCCAATGTGTGTTGTTCCCCTCCCCATGTCCATGTGTTCTCATTGTTCAGCTCCCACTTATGAGTGAGAACATGTGGTGTTTGGTTTTCTGTTCCTGCATTAGTTTGCTGAGGCTGATGGCTTCCAGCACTACGCATGTCCCTGCAAAGGACATGATCTCATTCCTTTTGATAGCTGTGTAGTATTCCATGGTAGTATATATGTGTCACATTTTCTTTATCCAGTCTATCATTGATAGGCATTTGGGTTGATTCTGTGTCTTTGCTATTGTGAATAGTGCTGCAATAAACATACATGTGTATGTCTCTTTTTAATAGAATGATTTATATTTCTTTGGGATTGCTGGGTTAAATGGTATTTCTGGTTCTATATCTTTGAGGAATTTTCCACAATGGTTGAACTAATTTACATTCCCATCAACAGTGTAAGAGTGTTCCTATTGGCCAGGTGTGCGTGGTGGTTCATGCCTGTAATCCCAGCACTTTGGGAGGCCAAGGTGGACAGATCACCTGAGTTCCGGAGGTCGAGACCAGCCTAGCCAACATGGTGAAACCTCATCTCTACTAAAAATACAAAAATTAGCTGGGCATGGTGGCGGGCGCCTGTAATCCCAGCTACTCGGTAGGCTGAGGCAGGAGAATCACTTGACTCCAGGAGGCAGAGGTTGCAATGAGCCAAGATCGCGCCCCTGCACTCCAGCCTGTGCGACAGAGTAAAGTCCATCTCAAACAAAAAAAAAAAAAAAAAGAAAAAAAGCGTGTTCCTCTTCCTATTTCTCCACAGCCTCACCAGCATCTGTTGTTTCTTGACTTTTTAATAATTGCCATTCTGACTGGTGTGAGGTGGTATCTCATTTTGGTTTTGATTTGCATTTCCCTAATGATCGGTGATGTTGACCATTTTTCATGTTTGTTGGCCACATGAATGTCTTCTTTTGAGAAGTGTCTATTCATGTCCTTTGCCCACTTTTTAATGGGGTTGTGTTTTTTTCCTTGTAAATTTCCAATGGAATAGAACAGAGAACTCAGAAATAAGACCGCACATCTACAACCATCTGATCTTTCACAAACCTGACAAAAACAAGCAATGGGGAATGGATTCCCTATTTAATAAATGGTGCTGGGAGAACTGGCTAGCCATATGCAGAAAATTGAAACTGGATCCCTTCCTTACACCTTCTACAAAAAGTAACTCAAGATGTATTCAAGAAAAATGTAAACACAAAACTGTAGAAACTCTAGAAGTATATCTAGGCAATACCATTAAGGACATAAGCATGGGCAAAGATTTCATTATGAAATCACCAAAAGCAATTGCAACAAAAGCAAAGATTGACAAATGAGATCTAATTAAACAAAGAGTTTCTGTACAGCAAAAGAAACTATCATCAGAGTGAACAGGCAAACTACAGAGTGGAAGAAAATTTTTGCAATCTATCTGTCTGACAAAGGTCTACTATCCAGAATCTACAAGGAATTTTCTATTTTTCTTCTCTGAATGCCTTTAGCATTTAGCTTACTTGCCCAGGGTTACTCCATGATGTAAGATGGCTGTTCGAACTCAGGGCGTCAGGTCAAATTGAGGACTGTAGTTACAGATTTTTCTAAACCACAAGAAGAAATATACAAATGTGCTGCAGAATTATTTTATTAGATATTTATTGTTCTGGACTACAATACTCTGACAGTAGTTTCTTTTGCAGTGCAGAAGCTCTTTAGTTTAATTAGATCCCATTTGTCAATTTTGGCTTTTGTTGCCATTGCTTTTGGTGTTTTAGACATGAAGTCCTTGCCCATGCCTATGTCCTGAATGGTATTGCCTAGGTTTTCTTCTAGGGTTTTTACGGTTTTAGGTCTGATATTTAAGTCTTTAATCCATCTTGAATTAATTTTTGTATAAGGTGTAAGGAAGGGATCGTTTCAGCTTTCTACATATGGCTAGCCAGTTTTCCCAGCACCATTTATTAAATAGGGAATCCTTTCCCCATTTCTTGTTTTTGTCAACTTTGTCATAGATCAGATGGTTGTAGATGTGTGGTACTTCTTCTGAGGGCTCTGTTCTGTTCCATTGGTCTATATCTCTGTTTTGGTAGCAGTACCATGCTGTTTTGGTTACTGTAGCCTTGTAGTATAGGTTGAAGTCAGGTAGCATGATGCCTCCAGCTTTGTTCTTTTGGCTTAGGATTGTCTTGACAATGCGGGCTCTTTTTGGGTTGCATATGAACTTTAAAGTAGTTTTTTCCAATTCTGTGAATAAAGTCATTGGTAGCTTGATGGGGATGGTATTGAATCTATAAATTACCTTGGGCGGTATGGCCATTTTCACAATATTGATTCTTCCTAGCCATGAGCATGAAATGTTCTTCCATTTGTTTGTGTCCTGTTTTATTTTGTTAAGCAGTGGTTTGTAATTCTCCTTGAAGAGATCCCTCACATCTCTTGTAAGTTGGATTCCTAGGTATTTTATTCTCTTTGAAGCAATTGTGAATGGGAGTTCACTCATGATTTAGCTCTCTGTTTGTCTGTTATTGGTGTATAGGAATGCCTGTGATTTTTGCACATTGATTTTGTATCCTGAGAATTTGCTGAAGTTGCTTATCAGCTTAAGGAGATTTTGGGCTGAGACAATGGGGTTTCCTAAATATACAATCATGTCATCTGCAAACAGGGACAATTTGATTTCCTCTTTTTCTAATTGAATACCCTTTATTTCTTTCTCCTGCCTTATTGACCTGGCCAGAACTTCCAACACTACGTTGTATAGGAGTTGTGAGAGAGGGCATCCCTGTCTTGTGCCAGTTTTCAAAGGGAATGCTTCCAGTTTTTGCCCATTCAGTATGATATTGGCTGTGGGTTTGTCATAAATAGCTCTTATTATTTTGAGATACGTCCCATCAATACCTAATTTATTGAGAGTTTTTAGCATGAAAGGCTGTTGAATTTTGTGGAAGAACTTTTCTGCATCTATTGAGACAATCATGTGGTTTTTGTCTTTGGTTATGTTTATACGATGGATTACATTTATTGATTTGCATATGTTGAACCCGCCTTGCATCACAGGGATGAAGCCCACTTGATCATGGTGGATAAGCTTTTTGATGTGCTGCTGGATTCGGTTTGCCAGTATTTTATTGAGGATATTTGCATCGATGTTCATCAGTGATATTGGTCTAAAATTCTCTTTTATGTCTCTGCCAGGCTTTGGTTTCCGGATGATGCTGGCCTCATAAAATGAGTTAGGGAGGATTACCTCTTTTCCTATTCATTGGAATATTTTCAGAAGGAATAGTACCAGCTCCTCTTTGTACCTCTGGTAGAATTCAGCTGTGAATCTGTCTGGTCCTGGACATGTTTTGGTTGATAGGCTCTTAATTATTGCCTCAATTTCAGAGCCTGTTATTAGTCTATTCAGGGATTCAACTTCTTCCTGGTTTAGTCTTGGGAGGGTGTATGTGTCCAGGAATTTATCTATTTATTCTAGATTTTCTAGTTTATTTGTGTAGAGGTGTTTATAGTATTCTCTGATGGTAGTTTGCATCTCTGTGGGATCGATGGTGATATCCCCTTTATCATTTTTTATTGTGTCTATTTGATTCTTCTCTCTTTTCTTCATTAGTCTTGCTAGCGATCTATCAATTTTGTTGATCTTTTCAAAAAAATTAGCTCCTGGATTCACTGATTTTTTGAAGGGTTTTTTTGTGTCTCTATCTCCTTCAGTTCTGCTCTGATCTTAGTTATTTCTTTCCTTCTGCTAGCTTTTGAATGTGTTTGCTCTTGCTTCTCTAGTTCTTTTAATTGTGATGTTAAGGTGTCAATTTTAGATCTTCCCTGCTTTCTTTTGTGGGCATTTAGTGCTATAAATTTCCCTCTACACATTGCCTTAAATTTGTCCCAGAGATTCTGGTATGTTGTGTCTTTGTTCTCATTGGTTTCAAGGAACATCTTTATTTCTGCTTTCATTTCGTTATGTACCCAGTAGTCATTCAGGAGCAGGTTGTTCAGTTTCCATGTAGTTGAGCGGTTTTGAGTGAGTTTATTAATCCTGAGTTCTAGTTTGATTGCACTGTGGTCTGAAAGACAGTTTGTTATAATTTCTGTTCTTTTATGTTTGCTGAGGAGTGCTTTACTTCCAACTATGTGGTCAATTTTGGAATAAGTGTGTGATGTGGTGCTGAGAAGAATGTATATTCTGTTGATTTGGGGTGGAGAGTTTTGTAGATATGTATTAGGTCTGCTTGGTGCAGAGCTGAGTTCAATTCCTGGATATGTTTGTTAACTTTCTGCCTTGTGGATCTGTCTAATGTTGACAGTGGGGTGTTAAAGTCTCCCATTATTATTGCGTGAGAGTCTAAGTCTCTTTGTAGGTCTCTAAGGACTTGCTTTATGAATCTGGGTGCTCCTGTATTGGGTGCATATATATTGAGGATAGTTAGCCTTGTTGAATTGATCCCTTTACCATTATGTAATGGCCTTCTTTGTCTCTTCTGATCTTTGTTGGTTTAAAGTCTGTTTTATCAGAGACTAGGATTGCAACCCCTGCTTTTTTTTTGTTTTCCATTTGCTTGGTAGATTTTCCTCCATCCCTTTATTTTGAGCCTATGTGTGTCTCTGCACATGAGATGGGTCTTCTGAATATAGCACACTGATGGGTCTTGACTCTTTATCCAATTTGCCAGTCTGTGTCTTTTAATTGGAGCATTTAGCCCATTTACATTTAAGGTTAATATTGTTATGTGTGAATTTGATCCTGTCATCATGATATTAGCTAGTTATTTTGCTCATTAGTTGATGCAGTTTCTTCCTAGCCTTGATGATCTTTACAATTTGGCATGTTTTTGCTGTAGCTGGTACTGCTTGTTCCTTTCCATGTTTAGTGCTTCCTTCAGGAGCTCTTTTAGGGCAGGCCTGGTGGTGACAAAATCTCTCAGCATTTGCTTGTCTGTAAAGGATTTTATTTCTCCTTCACTTATGAAGCTTAGTTTGGCTGGGTATGAAATTCTGGGTTAAAAATTCTTTTCTTTAAGAATGTTGAATATTGGCCCCCACTGTCTTCTGGCTTGTAGAGTTTTTGTCAAGAGATCTGCTGTTAGTCTGATTGGCTTTCCTTTGTGGGTAACCCAACCTTTCTCTCTGGCTGCCCTTAACATTTTTTCCTTCATTTCAACTTTGGTGAATATGACAATTATGTGTCTTGGAGTTGCTCTTCTCAGGGAGTATCTTTGTGGTGTTCTCTGTATTTACTGAATTTGAATGTTGGCCTGCCTTGCTAGGTTGGGGAAGTTCTCCTGGATAATATCCTGAAGAGTGTTTTCCAACTTGGTTCAATTCTCCCCATCACTTTCAGGTACACCAATCAGATATAGATTTGGTCTTTTCACGTAGTCCCATATTTCTTGGAGGCTTTGTTCATTTCTTTTTACTCTTTTTTCTCTAAACTTCTCTTCTCGCTTCAGTTCATTTATTTGATCTTCAATCACTGATACCCTTTCTTCAAATCAGCTACTGAAGCTTGTGCATGTGTCACGTAGTTCTCATACCATGGTTTTCAGCTCCGTCAGGTCATTTAAGGTCTTCTCTACGCTGGTTATTCTAGTCAGACATTCGTCTAATCTTTTTTCAAGGTTTTTAGCTTCTTTGTGATGGGTTCAAACACCCTCCTTTAGCTCAGAGAAGTTTGTTATTACCAATCTTCTAAAGCCTTCTTCTCTCAAATCGTCAGAGTCATTCTCTGTCCAGCTTTGTTCCATTGCTGGTAAGGAGCTGTGTTCCTTTGGAGAAGAGGCACTCTGATTTTTAGAATTTTCAGCTTTTCTGCTCTGGTTTCTCCCCCCTTCTTTGTGGTTTATCTACCTTTGGTCTTTGATAATGTTGATGTACAGATGGGGTTTTGGTGTGGATGCCCTTTCTGTTTGTTAGTTTTCCTTCTAACAGTCAGGACCCTCAGCTACAGGTCTGTTGGAGTTTGCTGCAGGTCCGCTTCAGACCCTGTTTGCCTGGGTATCACCAGCGGAGGCTGCAGAACCGTAAATATTGCAGAATGGTAAATGTTGCTGCCTGATCATTCCTCTGGAAGCTTCATCTCAGAGGGGCACTCGGCCGTGTGAGGTGTCAGTCAGCCCCTACTGGGAGATGCCTCCCAGTTAGGCTACTTGGGGGTCAGGGACCGACTTGAAGAGGCAGTCTTTCCATTCTCAGATCTCAAACTCCGTTATGGAAGATCCACTACTCTCTTCAAAGCTGTCAGACAAGGACGTTTAAGTCTGCAGAAGTTTCTGCTGCCTTTTGTTCAGCTATGCCCTGCCCCCAGAGGTGAAGTCTGCAGAGGCAGGCAGGCCTCCTTGAGCTGCGGTGGGCTCCACCCAGTTCGAGCTTCCTGGCTGCCTTGTTTACCTACTCAAGCCTCAGCAAGGGCGGGCACCCCTCCCCCAGCCTCGCTGCCACCTTGCAGTTCGGTCTCAGACTGCTGAGCTAGCAGTGAGCAAAGCTCCATGGGCGTGGGACCCTCTGAGCCAGGCGTGGGATATAGTCTCCTGGTGTGCTCTTTGCTCAGTTGGAAATGCAGAAATCACCCGTCTTCTATGTCACTCATGCTGGGAGCTGTAGACTGGAGCTGTTCCTATTCGGCCATCTTGAAACCTCCCACCTCAATTGTGCCCCTTCTTATAATATTCTTAGTTGTACTTACTTGTCTCACAGTTATTCAATGTCTGTTATCCTAAGATAAAATGTCCTGTCTCTAAACTTTACCAGAAGATGATTCAACAAATCTTTCAAATAGAAAAAACAAAGAGCATAAAATGCTGCTGATTAATGCTTAAGCTGAAAATAATTATTTCTGCAGACAGAATCACATTTTCAATAAGAATCACAACATGAAGATCTGAACAAGTCTTGATGGGCTTCCTGTAGCATCAGCTGAGCGAGAATGGAAAGGAGAGTTCAACAGTTTTTGAAATTTCACACATTCTAGGAAAGACTGATATTGTTCCAAAGCCAACAGAACTGGTATTAAACTGATCTATCAGTTGAAACCAAACTAAAACAAACAAAATCTCTCCTTAATAAACATGATCTCTATTGCAAGTTAACCAGTGAGCAATAGTCCTTTCCTTCTGAAAGCCACCCAGGCAAGAAGGGATTCACTCCAAGAAACATATTTCAGAATATCAAACATTAAATAGTCTCACATGAGTAATAATGCTTCTACCCAGTTGAAGATACACCAATCTTCACCCCCATACTTCCTCTAAACCCATATAAGGTCATCAGTCCCTTCTATTAAGAGAGACTGTGCCTGATAAGCATAGTTTCTCATTTCTAGAGCAAGCAGAAATTGTGCCTTCTGTTTCCTCATTTCAGATATTCAGTGACGATCTTATTATCCTTTAGTACCAGTATGAATTCTAGGTTTCTGGTTTCGGCAAGCCCATGAACAAATAGTTAGTGTGACATATTTTTCCAGTTTTCTTAAAAGAGTCCTGACTTACATGTGGGCATCCCACGCAGTTAACCCCTCCATTAACTTCAAAAGTCTTACAGTATGGATAATAAGTTATGCATTCATTCAAATATCGTAGCATTCATAGAGATAATAAAATGATGACATTCTTTTTTGGACATTTTGTATTGAAAGTCTTTGTGAAACAGCCAAGTAAAAATTTTCAGTAAGATGGCTTATCATCACAATTATATGGTGAGTAACTGAAATCTCTGGAGTAATGGGGATCATATAAAAAGAAGAGACTGAAAGATGAGAGAAGAACTAAGATGAGTAGGAATTATTATCATTGAAGGAAAAATAACTCAAGAAGAGCACCCAGAAGTGTAACTGAAAAATCAGAAGAAAACAATGTCATCAAAGTCATAGGAAGAGAGTCATTTAAGGGTCGATGCATGTTCAGCATTTGGTGCGTATTGCAGACCTAACAGGTAAAGTTCTCAGAATATCTACACTGATGATTTTAGGAAGAACAATTTCAGTGGAGTAATTAATGAAGAAACAACTCAAATTATTGTGCAGTGATGTGTCAAAAGAACTATGAAAAAATAGATATCATGAATATAAATAGTGCTTTTCAAAAGAGTGGCTTTGAGAAGATAGGGAAGAGATTACACACTAGTTGAAGAAATGGGCTTAGTTTTATTTTCCACTTTGAAAATATGGATGAATGAGCTGGGAGGACATTATGTTCAGTGAAATAAGTCAGGCACAGAAAGACAAATACTGTGTGATCTCACTTAGATGTGGAATCTAACAATGCTGAACTCACAGAAGTAGAGAATAGAGTAGTGGCTACTAGGGGCTGAAAGAAGGGGGAGTTGAGGAGATATCCCTCAAAGGATACAAGATTTCTGCTAGATAGGAGGAATAAGCTCAAGGGGTCTATTGTACAATATGGTCACTATAGTTAATAATAATGTATTCTCGAAAATTGCTAAAATAGTAGTTATACTATTTCAAGTGTTCTCATCAAAATAATAACTATGTGAGGTAATAATGCATATGTTATTTAGCTCAATTTAGTCATTACACAATGTATACATATTTCAAAAACATGTTGTACACAGTAAATATATACAATTTTTATCTGTCAATGAAAACCTAAATTTAAAAACCTTAAAAAAAGTGAGGTTAGTCATATTTAAATATTGATAGAAAGAGTCTGGGAGAAATAGAATTTGATAAAAAATGTGCTGAGATAAATCAATTGAATGAATTTTTAGGGCAGTAGAGATGGCATGCTGACCACAGTGGAGTATTAGCCTTAGATCAGTGGAACCATAAGATTTCCATTATACTATAATGACAGTCAGCAAGGAGGTTCTTGGATATTATGAATGTCAGTAAAAAGTCTCTTTTCTTTGTCCAAGCTCTGAAGCAACTGAAAGACACACACAGATGGTAGCATAAGAGAATAGAGATTTAAATGTCTATTTTACCTGGAAGAAAGGTACATTGGAAGAGATGGCTTAGGGCTGTAGTCAAATGGGCTTGCTTACATTGCATGCTAAAATTTACCCTCAACTCTGAACACCTCCTAGAACTCTGTTCTTATAAAGGTTAAGCACAGAAATCTAAATGAAGGTTTTCTATGGGAAAACTGGCTCACTAGAAAATAATAATAAGAGAGATAGAGAGAAGTATGTAGCTAAGCATGTCTATTCATGTAAATTGGGTAATTGGTTGGTGGAAATATAAAACAGGTCACAAGATTGACCCTTGGGAAGTACTTCACATGGAGACCAGGGTAGTAGCAAAATCAGATGTGTACAGTTGTAGTTACTTTTGTAGATTTGTTGAGGAGAAATTAATTCTTTACTCATGATTTATTTGTGGTAATAAGCAAAGATATCTTTGAGGCATTGTATATGTTAATTAGCTCGATTTAGCTATTCCATGGGATATTTCAAAACATTATGATAAACATGATAAATATATACAATTTTTATTTGTCAATTAAAACTTTTAAAAAGTGAGATAAAAGAGCATTTACTGCCCAGCACTTTTGTGAGAACAAATATACTACTTGGATGCTGTTACAAAGCGTGAGAAAGCTCACTATAAATGCTAGAAAATGATGTTTTTTAAAAAGGCATTTGAGGGCCCAATTGAAGTTGCAACCCTGGAATTTATAATGCTACCAAACCACCTGGTTACATAATTATTTTTATACCAACACAAAGAAAAGGAAAACTTTATATCGATCTATGAATGAAATTACTTTCATGAATGTGCAGCAGTGATAGAAAAGGAAATGAAAGTTCTTCCAAGAGAGTAGTTGAAGTTTTAGACTATAAGAAAAATAGATATCAAGAAATTTGAAGTTCTCATGTGATTAAAAAAAAGTATTTAAATAACTGAATGGAAGTTTTATAAGTTTAAAGCATTGTGTTCAGATACTGTGACATATTTGATATATGATGATATTTGAATATAGATTCTGGTATCTCACATACATTTGTGTTTTTAAGTCCCACCACTGAAAATTCTAATGAGTGTAGAATATTTTTTTGAGTCAGAATTAGATTAATACGTTTCTGTTTACTTTTGTTGAGCTGCCAAAGCTTCTGCCACCTTAAGAAAATCAATTACAGCCAATTTATGTCTGGATTTCAGGAAAGCTATTTGCAAGAATCTAAATTTAGGAAAACAAAATCCTATCACTCTGCTGTTCAAAATTGTAAGCCAATATTGGTAAAAATATATTAAATTGCTATAAGCACAATAATACAAGAACATTTAAAACTATCAATACCATTGCTTTTTTAACAAGTTCTAGCAAATTTTGATTGATAAGTAATTTTATATTGAATGGACCAAATTTGTTTAGATTTGGATTAATATACTATAGTTGGGATAGACAGATGGATAAAAAATACGCCTGACTTATTTTATATGCATTAGCTATTCCAAGAACAAGCATTTTTGTCTCTTCTTTCCAGGCTATGTCACAGGCACCAGGCATGAATTTTTAAAATCTAGGTCGGTGGTTAGCAATTGAAGAAACAAAGTATCAGAATATTGTAAATATCTGAAATGTATATTTGAATTTTCTATCCTCTACTGACTTCTATATTCTACCTGTCTTCATGTAATATAGAAGATATCAATACCTGTAGGTGGCAGGTAAGACATTGAGTATTTTAAGAAAAGATCTTTAAATGATCATTTTGATAATTTGATGGGCACCTCTGGTTAAGCGTAACTCTCCAATTCCCAATAGCAGAAACCATTCTAAACCAAAAGAGGTCCTTCACTCTAACAGCTAGTGGTGATAGTCACACTACCAAGAAAACTGTCCTATGACTTTAAAACCACCACACGTGGTATAAACTATCCTGGAGTCTGTATCCAAGCAAAATACTTAAACCATGGAGGAAGTAACGTATTTCTCTTTCCATTTAAGCCATTTGAAATTCCAATTTAACAAAAGTATAAATAGAAAAACCAATTATTTTCATCAAAATATTAGTTTATACTTTAGTAAATTTATTAAACTATTTTTGACTTTATAAACTCTAGGATTGTTGAAGCCAAGTGCACCTTTATCAAGGGACTGATCAAAATAAGATTGCAGATCAGCTGAGTCTCATTATAATATAAAAGATATTCTCCAAATTTTTATTACTGAGTTTTAGTAAAGGACAAAATAATTTGCAAACTATAGCAAACATATTTAAAGGTATTTTCCATAGAATAAAAAGAGACACAATTTCTGTAACATTTCTTTAACCTCTAATTGATAGGTAATCACAATGGAGATAATGGTTTCTAAGCCCCTATATCTAAGCTGCTCTTATATCCATGAAGCCCTATAGTCGATGTCACAATTCAACTTTTAACATTCATTGATGGCCATAAAAGCGTAATTGATAACATTGAAATGGTGACCACTGTGTTCCTCCAAAGCTCTTTCCTGTAATAAAATATATAAAAGGAAATTATCATAGTTTATTAGCAATCATTTTCCACTTTAAAAATTTAACACTGCCTAGAAAAAATTTCACATTAAACTAGCACCTGTGAAATTCTTCCACAAGGATAACTAAATTTTCTTTCATGATAATTCCCTTTTCTATACATAAAATAATGATCAGCAAACCATATACCAGGAGAAAACTTTAACATGCTTTTAAACAGCATCTACTATTTAAGTATTTAAACTAGCCAATTTAACAGAAAGTAATGAAACCATTTTCTTTGTCCACTGACATTTTGACTCTACATAAAAGTAACACTGGTAGACTCTTACTTGTGACCTACTTCATTTATTTTTTTTTTTTACAAAACTAATCTTTAAAAGTCTATCGTGCAAGGCCACAGGCAAGATTTTATGAGGTAAGTAAGAAACCCACATGGATAATATTATTTAACAAAAATCCATTTTAGGAAAATAATTGGCTTCTATGAAGAATCTGTGTCAATCAAACAGGCTACAGTACACAGCCATTTGCTCTGAAGGCTAAGCAGGCTTGTACCTACTGTAAATACAACCTCTGATATGTGATGCCGAGTTTCCACAGCCTAATCCCTCAGAATCAGATCAGAACCATGGAGCTCTCTTGCTGTGAGCTCTAATATACTAACAATTTTTAGAAAAACAAATTTCTACCTCTTAGTCTCTAACATTGTTCTAGGCAATAAAGAAAGATCTTGGTTTTTCTTTTTCAATGCTTGAGATAGGGGTATAGGTGACTAAGGCCTGGGACACATGGTAGGTTATTAATGTGGAATGATCAGTCACTTATTTTAAAGATAATTACGTATTTTAAAAATCAGGCCGGGCATGGTGGCTCACTCCTGTAACCCCAGCACTTTGGGAGGCCAAGGCTGGTCTATCACCTGAGGTCAGGAGTTTGAGACCAGCCTGGCCAACATGGTGAAAACCCATCTCTACTGAAAAAAAAACAAAAATTAGCTGGGTGTGGTGGTGCATGCCTGTAATCCTAGCTACCTAGGAGGCTGAGGCAGGAGAATCGCTTCCACCTGGAAAGCAGAGGTTGCAGTGAGCCGAGATTGTGCCATGGCACTCCAGCCTGGGCAACAGAGCAAGACTCCATCTCAAAAAAACAAACAAAAAAATTGATACTCGTTCATAAGTCCTTTCCTCCATGATACTATAAATGTATCAGGTCCACTTTTTTCTTCTTACTTTAGGTGATCCTGTGGCAGGCCAGGTCTCACTAACAGCTGAACAGGCAGGCCTCCATGGCAACTGTTTCAGCACTGAGTAGTTAAGTTTAATAGAGCCAGTGTCCTCATACGTAGGCTGGAATGCAACAAAATCCCACCAATAGTTTTGCCTAGTCCTTTCTTGGGCCTTGGAGCATGACAAGATAACGAAGGAATTCTTAACAGGACCCCTTTACAATTAAATATGTTTTATTGGGGGCCTGAAGGACCTCCCCAGACTGCCACAAGCAAGCTTTACTGGGGACTAAAGGAACTCCCCAAACCTCCATGATTTAGTAGGAGACAAGATAAGGGTAATCTCTGTGGTACCTGGACCCATTTAGATTAAGTAAATTTACTCAGGCTCCAGAGGAAGGTCTTCAAGACTCAGATCTTAGTTATAGATTAGAAGTTAATCACTTATGTCTTTAGATGAATGCACACTTACATGTAGACATATAGCTTAGAAGTTATATAAGCTCTGCAAAACTTTGTAATTTTGAGTTGGTCTGGTGATATTTCCCCAGCCTTCTTCCTATACCCGGTTACAGAAATAAACTCTGTTCTTTCCCAGTTCATCTTCATCTCGTTATTGGGCCACAAAAATATGCAGCCTGACCCTTGGTTTGGTCCGAGAACAATTCCACTATAAAATGTGGATTTATTATTGAATTATATCCTGTCTTTGAGGAGCAAGTAATAGGATTCACAATTCAATCTCCTGTACCCCATATATTAATTGGCTTACATGGCTGGAAGTCCATGTCAGACAGGGAAGGCTTTGCTTCAGGCCTAATCCAGTTTCATTGTTCTCTGACTTTGTCATCTGGCCCCTCTTCTGTGTGCTAGCTTCATCCAGAAGTTAGCCTCTTTCACAACAGTAAAATGCATACAGCAATTTCAGGCTTTCCACACACTAAGTTTCCCAGAGATGAGCAGAGTTTCTTTTTCTGTGGCTCATACGCTAAGATATTTCTTCCCAGAAGCTTCCAGCAAAACTCCCCTCGAGTCATATGTGTGTGAATAGAGTCATAAGCCAACCTCTGAATCAATCTTTGTATCAAAGTGATCAAAGTGGTGGAATTAACTCTGGATCAATGATGCCTCATCCTTGGAACTAGTAATGAAGTCAGTTTCTGATCAGCTTCCTTAACAGAAGTCAAACAAAAACCTACCAAAAATAGGTATCATTGTTATGAAAAGTGAAAATATTTTAGATTCTGAGTTTTCTTCTCACAAAAGATTATTCAAAACTAAGTTTAAGAGATATATAGTTTTAACAAGACACCAGAGTATGAGTGATATATTACAATATTAATGATATTTATAGAATAGCTAAGATTTAAAAATAATTGTAATTATATTGATATAGTGAGTTAGAAAATTATTAATAGCAATTACTCATCAAGGAAAGAGTTTGTTATTTTGAGGATTGTCGTCAAAGCTGAAGAACTACAATAAAACAAACAGAATTTTATCACATAACTTAGAAATAGTAAAACACACCCCAGAATATTAACTGAGATATTTCCTCATAACCAGTATGTTTGGAGTATAGCATATAAGAATAGATAATAAAAAATGTTCATTAAACAACAACCAAGAGGTTGAAACAATTTTGATTAATCTATTTATGTCATGGATTCTTTACAAAAAATTTCTTCTGGTTTGCCTCTTGCTTAAGCATTACAATTCTAGTATTACATCTTATTCTAAATAAATTATTATATATTTTAAACTGTTTTCAAAGATATGTATGCATGATAAAATTGTCTGACATTTTGAAAATTGGATTCTCTTGAAATTGAATGAATTGAACTGAATCAATTTGGTGATTTTTCTGAAGATTCTTGTTTTGGTTAATTATTGCTGCATAACATATTACCACAAATCATAATGGCTTAAAACAACAGCCATTTATTTTACTCATAAATTTGCAATTTGAGTAGAGCTTTGTTGGAATGATTCTTCCCTGCTCCTCATAGCATTATCAAAGGCTGCCCTAACAGGGGCTAGAAGACCCACTTTCAAAATAGTTCACTCACATGACTGAAGAGTATGTGGGACTTCAGCTGTGCTAGTGGGATTGGCACCCATGGCTGACTGGGCATCCTCAGAGCAGGAGCGTGGTGGGTGGGTTCCAAAAGCAAGCCTCACAAGAAAGCAAAGCAGAAGTGCATGGGAGTGTATGATCTAGCTTCAGAAGTCACAGAACATCAATTCTAGCATACTGCATACAACAAGGAAATTACAAAAGGCCACCTAGGCTTACAGCACCAAGACATGATGTAACCAGTTCCTAAGAAGCATATAAGATGAGAGATATTGCAGCACCCCCATGTGCAAAATACAACCCGAGTCAACCCCCAGCAATTACTTTCTTCTTCTTCCCTCTCTCTTCTCCCTTGCTCCTGCCATCTCTCTTTTATCTTTACTGTGTGGATTTATTTAACCAATTTATATGGTTTGGCTCTGTGTCCCCACCCAAATCTCACCTTGAATTGTAATAATCCCCACATGACATGGGAGGGAATGGGTAGGAGGTAATTGAATCATGGGGGTGAATTTTTTCTGTGCTGTTCTTATGATAGTGAATAAATCTTACAAGACCTGATGGTTTTATAAAGAGGAGTTTCCCCGCACATGCTCTCTTGACTGCTGCCATGTGAGATGTGACTTTGCTCCTCCTTTGCCTTCTGTCATGATTATGAGGCCTCCCCAGTCATGTGGAACTGTAAGTCAATTAAACCTCTTTCCTTTATAAATCACACAGTCTTGGGTATGTCTTTATTAGCAGCATGATCATGGACTAATACACCTACTATCTATTTATAGAAATGAAGTTGGAGAGCTACTGGTTGGGGAGATATGAAAGAAAGAATGTAATAAACAATCAATCCCACAATCCTGGTTATTAGCCACTCACTTCTCCTAATCCATACACTTACCCCAAACTTCTTGGTATCTTTCATGTTCCTGTGGTCATAGTTTAGGTTATCTGTTATTTCTTTGCATCCATATGCATTCATTTAGATACTATACAAATAAATACTGCAAAATATTTGGAAGCAGACAAATGGGTTTTAATCTTGGCTCTGCTATTTATTAACAATGTGTTTTTAGTCAGTGGCTTCATGCACCTCAATATATGTAAAATGGAGATAATGATGTATAGAGCTTCTGGGTGTATTAAAGAATTATATAGAAAATACTTAGCACGTAAGTGCCCAATAAATGGTAGCTATTCATAATCATTCATTCAAGCATGCATAAGACATTTTATATGTATACACACACACACACACACATATATATATACATATAGAATTATAGAATTATAAATGAGCTATTGAGTTTGCATTTATGAACCTGCAGTTAATTAGGGGAGATGATCCTATAACAAATCTTTTCAGACTATTTGGGGAGATTAAAAAAGGGGGTATGCTCTGCATGAAGTATTTGCCTTTCAGGAACCAGAACTTTGAAATATACAGAGTCCAGATTTGATATGTAAATTCCTGAATTGGTTCATTAAGGGTAAGGAGAAGCAGAGCCATTTTTGCCTCCACACTTTGGTCTTGGACCCATGTATTCTTCTTTTCAGAAGCGCACCCTAAAACAATTTTAATTTGAATTTAACGTTTCTATGTGTGAAGATGCTGCGGCATTCTTAGGAGGTATTGCCTCTGAGCCGACACTTCAGCTGTCACTTTACAAGGCTGTTCCAGTGCACTTCTGATTAATGCAGGGTGCACTATGACCAGTGGATTCCTTAGCCATGGGCCCACTGTGCCCTTCCTTTGCCATGTGACACCTGTTGGTCTGTGTGGTATGATGTAGAATATCATGCATGTGAATCAGTTACACTGTAGGCCCTCAGAGAGTGAGACAGACTCAGACCCTGCAGGAAGGTAAGTCAAACCTCTTCCCAGAACATGTACCCATTCTATCAGCATGAACCACCAGAGGCCTGGGGAGAAGGAGTCCAGCGAGACTAATCTGCCATCTTTCTTTAACATGTGATGTCACTTTCCTTAACATAGTATGCCATACTGGAAGTGCAAAGCTGCTCTTTGTTGATGGCAGGCTTGACATTTGGTAGCGACACCAGCTGGACCAACCTAGAGAGGTGAGAGCCCATGCTGTCGGGCCTATGCATAACCTCCACCTAAGACCCTGTATTAGTCCATTTTAATGCTGCTGATAAAGACATACCTGAGACCGGGCAATTTACAAAAGAAAGAGGCTTAATTGGATTTACAGTTCCACATGGCTGGAGAGGCCTCACAATCATGGCAGAAGACAAGGAGGAATAAGTCACATCTTATGTGGATGGTGGCAGGCAAAAACAAACAAACAAACAAAGCTTGTGCAGGGAAATTCCACCTTATAAATCCATCAGATCTCATGAGACTTATTCACTATCACAAGAATAGTGACGTCAATGCCTGCCCCCATAATTCAATCACCTCCCATTGGGTCCCTCCCACAACATGTGGGAATTCAAGATGAGATTTGGGTGGGGTCACAGCCAAACCATATCAGACCCCATATGTGCTACTTCATTCCTGTGCTCATTGAGAAAGCAATGGAATGGCCAATAACAGAGGCTGGGTGACATGTTCTGGCTGAGTCATTTTGGTCTATGTGGTTGTGTTATGACTCCTCCGTGCCAACTGTTTTTTGGTGGTTACCATGAAATATTAATATCCTTATGCTTTGTGCTTACTCTCGTATGTCTAAACATGTGCCTCTCCTCTAGACCTTCTAAGCTAATATGGCTCTACTCTAGACCTCCTTAGCCCTCCAGGCTTCTAATCAGCTGGACAGGCTTTTAGCAGGTGGCGATTTGATATACATTCTAACCTCAGGCCATTTTTCATTGTATGCCAAGTGGAATACTACTTGAAGCTCTGCCCACAGGCGGGACTTTTTTCTAATCACTGTCTTTCAAGGTCACCCCTGAGGCGGACTGGGGTGCACCTGTCATCCATTTCTAAACTGCACCTGCATTCTATGATGATCCATCTGTGAACAAAGCTCCATGTTTCCCTCCTTTGGCTGCTGCCATAAGGGACCCCCATTGCAATTATAGGTTTGAACCCAGGGAGGGGCACTAATTCCTCAGTAGTAGATGATACAGAGTCTGGGCTACCTGGTTTTGAACGTTGTTTATGCTTGCAAGTCCTGCTTATGCCCATTTTCATCTTAAAAAGAATTGTTGCAAGGCCCTGCAACTGTATGACTGAGTGGGTCTGAGAAAATCCAGTTTATGATTGGCAGCTCTGATTATATGGTCACTTGATGTCCTGTAGTCATATATCTCTGTCTTTCCCAGGGTTCAATAGCATGCCAGGAACTATTTTGCAAAAGGTGTGTAATTTTTGACTGCAGATATGTTCTAGGTCAAAAAACCCTCCTGGTTGATACTGTGATTATTCTATTAGATTTTTCTATAAACTACATATGTTATCTCTTCTCATCACTGATAGCTTTAATAGCATAGAGTCATCTATACAGCCCCAGCAGCTGTCCAGACCTGCCACAGAGTACATCTGGGTCTGGGCTCCACTGAAAGCCGAAAGCTTTTAATGTCACCTAGTGTACAGGTTGGGACACTCTTAAAGGTGAAACATGCTTACTCCAAAACTCAAAGAAGTCTATCAAGCAGTGTGCTTTCATCTTTCATTGTGGGAAGTTGAAGATGCAATAATTTATCCTTTACTCTCCTTGGTCAAAACAGTCAGATTATCTGTTTCACCACGTATTCATGTTATTAAGAGATATCTTGGATTGTTAATGCTTTTATGGACTTCTTGACTAATTGCCTTCTGAAATTAACATAGTAAAATAGTAAATATGTATTTAAACAAAAATATATAAAGTTAAACTAACCTATAGGAGTTTCTTTATAAAATTATAAGTACACATTTCTACCTTTAGTCAAATTCTTGAGTAACCATAACCACTTTCAGTTTCTTAAACTCAGTGTATAACTAATAAACTTAGTGTGTATTATTGGTTCTTCTCATTGACATGATAACAGGAAAGCAAAGAGAATTTTGAAGTTGATCAGCTTTGAGGGATATTAAATATTTGCATTTTGAAATTAAACAATGAGAAATATAATCTGCAATCAACAAGAGGCTGCATTACATTGCTGATGATAAATGGTGGAAAATAAAGTTGGAAATACTGTTTCAAATTGTATCTTCTAGGGATTAAGAAAAAACTTGATTGCTTAAAATGAACTTGATTGATGAACAAGATGAAATATTTAAATAATCTGGTATAAATATAATCATGTGTGAAATTTATTGGTGGTTAATGTAAATACTAAAATTTCTAGTAAAAAAAGAAAAAGAATAGAGTCAAGACGTTTGCAAGTCCAGTCTACTGAGTTTATGCCACAACTAAGCAGAAATGGAATTCTGAAATCAGAGTTGTTATCTAACACTGGGAAAGATATGAGAATAATTTCATGTGACAGAATAATTTGTTCTATATTGCAGTTAAAGAAAATGATAAAAGCCGTTTAATTCATTTGACAAAGAGATTTTGAAAGGTTTTCAAATTTATTCAACTGCTTTCTGAAGTCCCATAGCTACTTCCTGTAATTGTCCACTGTATTTGCATACCAACGAGAGAAAACAGTAATAACTTTCAAGTTAAATAATTCAAGCTTTCTTAGTTCTAATTCTGCTAAATTTCCTATTGAACTTCAAAATTTTTATTGTTCACTCAGAATCAGTTACAACGTCTTTGCTGCTTTTTCCCATTTTCTTTTTTTTCTTTTTTTTTTTTTTAAGACAGGTCTCACTCTTGCCGGGGCTGGAGTGCAGTGGCATGAACATGGATCACTGCAGCCTTGACTTCCTGAGCCTCAAGCGATTCTCCCATCTTAGCATCCCAAGTAGCTGGGAGTGATACCATGCCCAGCTAATTAAAACAAAACAAAACAAAAAAATTTTGTAGGCCGGGCACGGTGGCTCACGCCTGTAATTCCAGCACTTTGGGAGGCCAAGGCGGGTGGATCACGAGGTCAGGAGATCAAGACCATCCTGGCTAACACGGTGAACTCTACTAAAAATACAAAAAATTAGCCAGGTGTGGTTGCGCGGACCTGAAGTCCCAGCTACTCAGGAGGCCGAGGCAGGAGAATGGCGTAAGCCCTGGAGGCGAAGCTTGCAGTGAGCCAAGATTGCGCCCCTGCACTCCAGCCTGGGCGACAGAGCGAGACTCTTGTCTCAAAAAAAAAAAAAAAAAAAAAAAAAAATGCAGGGTTGGGGGTCTCGCCATTTGGTCCAGGCTGGTCTCAAGCTCCTGGGCTCAAGCTATCTTCCCATCCTGGTCTCCCAAAGTTTTGGGATAACAGGTGTGAGCCACTGGACCTTGCCTTTGCCTTTTTTCTTCAAATGAAAGTACTATTGTATTTTAGCAGACTACTAGTGTCTTCTTCCTCCTCCTCTTCTTCAACCTTCTTCTCTTTCTTCTAAAGTGTCCCTAGATGTACATAAGACTAATGAAAATCCTTATTCTGTGATACACTGTCATTACAAATCTATGCAAGATCTCCTTTCCTTTCTTCCTTCTTCCCTCTCTCTCTCTGTCTCATTCTCTCCTTTTCTCTTTTTCTTTCTTTTGTTCCTTCTTTCTTTTTTAAAATTAATGTGATGAACATCTGTAGCCCACGACCTCATCCAGCACTAGCATATTAACATAAGCTTATCTCTTGATATCTTCCCTTTTCCCATTCTCCTTACACCTTCAACTTTTGAAGAGCAAAGAGAAGAAAGGTAAATATAAAACACTAAATTTGAAAAAATAATATCAGAAGAGTAGGTTTAGGAGGTGAAAAATGAGAGCAAGATGGGGTAGATGAAGAGAAGAAGTGAGATAGAATCAAAACAGATAGAAAGGGATGGCGGGGAAATATAAGAAGGTAGATAAAGAAGTGCTTCTTCATATTCATATTTCTCTAGCAGCAATAATTTATTAGAATGAAGCTAAGAAGGATGATATCTGCCAAGCCACTCATCCCTCTGGGCCTGTGGATTGGTCATTTGTAAGATCTCTTCCAGCTGAAAAAGTACTGCTCTTATCACTTCCAAATTTTTAGACCTCATGGGAGGGATTATTTTGACTGTGCGATTAGCTAATGTGAAAATAATTAATGAAAGAGAAGAGTTTAAAGCAAACTTTCCCTGAAGGCCAGTTTGATATTTACTAGGTTAAACAGAAACTGATGATGCCTTTTAAGGGAATTCTTAACTTGAACTTTCTTTGGGACAAAATTTACTCATGAAGTAACATTTTGTAGTTCTCAGCTAGGGTGAAAGATAATTTAAACTTAAAATAAATTTATCTGTATTCATCAATATTGAATGAAGTAGAGAGAAAAGTATGCCTCTTTTCCTCAATTATTCCTTATCGACAATTAATAATGCATGTTGAAAATCTATTCCTTGGTGCTGTCATGGAGTTGATTGGCATTCTTTACTTAAGCTTGGGGCAAATGTTATACTCTTATTTTAGAACACTCTTGGCTTGCTCTTAGTCTTGTAATAAACAAAAGAACGTACTTATTTGGTCCATTGTGTATTTCCCTCCCCTAAAATGAAGACAGAAATTCTTATCTGATTGCTAATATACCCCAAACACTTTTCATTTTGTGTCACCCATATCAGGTGCTGCCCACATATTTGTAAAATGAGTGAATGAATTGCATTGAGCTATCACATATATTTCCACTTTAACAAAATCTAATATTGTAATAAAATAATTTCCTTACACTCCTTCAGGCAAGAAACATTGTTCTCAACTTTGCTTTAAATACTAAATTTTTACAATCTTGTATTACCTATCACTCAGAAAACAATTTGATATAAAACTTATTTGGCAACATAATACTCAAATTAGAATAGTCATTAAATAGATCTTATTGTCTTAACACTGAAAGGCTTAACCAGATAAATTCATCATAGTGTTCTCTTTAGTTTTAGTGAAGGAACAAACAAAAGGCATATATATATATATATTTTTTATATATTATACATATTTTACATTAATATATAATTTATTATATACTAATTTTATAAAATTTAATTATATAAATATATATTTTTATTAATTATATATAAATATATTTATTATACATTATAGTTATATCATATTTATAATTATATTATATTTATATTATATAATATATAAATATTACATTTATATATGAATTAATTATATAAATATATAAAATATTTATATAAACATACACAAATATATAAAAATATATACACATACACAAATATATACAACATTTATATACACATACACAAATATATACAAACATTTATATACGCATACACAAATATATAAAAATATTTATATACGCATACACAAATATATAAAAATATTTACATACGCATACACAAATATATAAAAATATTTACATACGCATACACAAATATATACAAATATTTACATAGCATACCCAAAAATATACAAATATTTACGTACGCATACACAAATACATAAAAATATTTACGTACGCATATACAAATATATAAAAATATTTACGTACGCATATAAAAATATATAACAATATTTATGTACGCATATACAAATATATAACAATATTTATGTACGCATATACAAATATATAACAATATTTATGTACGCATATACCAATATATAACAATATTAAATGTACGCATATATAAATATATAACAATATTTATGTACACATATATACATATATAATATATAAAAATATTTATATAATTATATATACATATATAAATCTATAAAAATATATATACATATATAAATCTATAAATATATATACATATATGAATCTATAAAAATATTCATATATACATATATGAATCTATAAAAATATTCATGTATACATATATGAATCTATAAAAATATTCATGTATACATATATGAATCTATAAAAATATTCATGTATACATATATGAATCTATGAAAATATTCATGTATACATATATAAATCTATGAAAATATTCATATATACATATATACATATATAAAAATATTTATATATACATATATACATATATAAAAGTATTTATATAGACATATATAAAAATATTTATATATACATATATAAAAATATTTATATAGACATATATACATATATAAAAATATTTATATATACATATATAAAAATATTTATATAGACATATATACATATATAAAAATATTTATATAGACATATAAATATATAAAAATATTTATATAGACATATAAATATGTGAAAATATTTATATAGACATATAAATATGTGAAAATATTTATATAGACATATATAAATATGTGAAAATATTTATATAGACATATATAAATATGTGAAAATATTTATA
>NW_003315960.1:94225-198278 GCF_000001405.40 Homo sapiens
AAATTTATTCAATTAAGATTTCTTAATATCTGTACAAATAATGTATCAGGTGGCAACACATAATTAAATATAAAATTACCTATTTTATCTAATTATTTATAAATTTAAGCTTTTTTACCTATTACATTCCAGATGCTATTTCATTTGTCTTACAATCTATGCTTGCATGTCAAATTTTTATAAATGAATTTGCTCTGTAATGAAATATTTGAAAAATAATTGCTTCCTACTGTGCATGATGAAATTCTTAGAGAGAGATAGATGGGAGAGTTGATGAGGAAAGAGAGGGGAGAATGGAGAAGAGAGAGAAAAGGCAGGGGGACATATTTTAGAGTAATAGAGTCATATAAATGACATTAGCATTACTAATTTTAAAGTGAAAAATGGATACATGTTCACAACCCTTGTCCAAAACCCTTGGGTCCAGATGTATTTCAAAAGTGCAAATATTTCACACATTAAGAAATTAATCCAGTGCATATACTGCAAGTTTTGGAACAACCCAGTGAAGTCTCAGGTAGTCCCCTGTAATCAAGCACCTTAATATACCTGCAACAAAATTCGTGTGATGACTCTTTTCAGTGGGGTCAATAGTCTATAATATATCGTAAGTACAAATAAGTGTATTGTGCATATGCTAATTAAAAGTACAGACTTCATTAAACTTCTGTTATATAACAAAAATTATAAATGGTTTCTTTTTATCTCTATGGGTGTATATTGTTTTATAAAAACATGGATTGTAATTAAATGGTTCCTCAAAGTTTATTCAATTAATTGAAGACAGAATTACACATTAAAATTTGGAATGAATTGAACTATATAGAGTTATGAAAAAGTTAAAGACTCACAAGAATCTTAGAAACTATTTGGGGAGACTCGATGTATACATACAGAACAGTTTAAAAGTAACAAGATATTATGGAAATAACTGGAAAATAATATAAATAGTAATTTTTTCACAGAGGTTGATAGGAGTGATTACCATAGAACAATAAGGAAAATGTAAAAATTGAACTGGATATTTGGGAAATAAATGGGGAGGTGTTAAGACCAAGACAAAGGGACCATTTGGCTGAGTCAAGGTGTCACACAGAGGAAGAACCAGGACATTTCATTCCAGGTATGTGTATGCTACTACTTGGACATAGCTATGTCCAAAAAAAAAAAAAAAAAAATCCTGACAAAATAAAATTACCTGTGTATTTTTTTGGTACAATAATGTATAAGAAAGACATCTTTATTTCATACTAACTTACCACATTGCAGCCAGTTTTTGCTTCTCACAAAATTCATTTTGAACTTTTTTCTTTAAGGAAGTTGCTACGTTTGTAATTACCAAACACCCAGTTACCAAGTTTATCATTCCTCTTTCCCTTGAACCAAATGTATTATTAGTTAATAAAGCCTTTGTATAATGAATCACAACACAAACCCACAAATTAGAGAATATTCAAAATTCAGAGTATTCAAAATATTTCGAATATTCATATTCTCCAGGAATGAGCAGAGTAAAGTGCTTTTATTTTTAAATAAGCACATAGGTTATGATTGCACATGGTTTACCTAACGGATGTTGCCGAATCCCGTAACATGTTACCCCAGGCTTCCCAACACATGCCTGATCCTTTAGTAGCTCATACCCAGGAGTAATGGTCAACGTGCAATTGGAATAGGTTTATAAATTAGTATATATGTATATATATATAGTATAAAAATAAAGATATTGCACCTATTTTTAAACTTCTTACCAAGCAATAAATTATAACATAAATTATCTATCATTAACTTCTGAATCATTGATTGATTTTTTTTAATTGTTCATGTAATCTTTTGTATGGCATGACTGTCACAAGTGAAAGATTATCCTTTCTCAGGTAGGAGATGATATACATAAACTCGTTAACATTTTCTAAAGACTTTGCCATTACATTAATAATGATTAGAAAACAAAATTTCAATTTGGAGAATAATTCTCTTATGATCTATGAAAAAAATATATTTTTATTATGCTAAACTATCTCATATTCTTCAAAAATACCAGCAATAAAATTCAAAATAGTGTGTATAACGTGTGTAAACATATTTACAAGTACTTGATATATCTTATTTATCAAGTCAAAAAAGTCACACTTGGGAGTATCATTTTTAATTAGTTGCTTTAATTTCAACATTTTTTGTTTATATTTATCCACAGAATTTCGGAGACATTATTTTGTTATTTTTAGGACTAAATGCATATTAAAATAAATAAAATGAAAGATCCTAAATATTTATTATGATTTACATGTTTGTCATCAGGCAGTAAAGGCATTTTTATTTAATATTATTTTTATTTATTTCTTCTTCTAATAATTTTTTTAAGAAAGAGTCTTGCTCTGTCGCCCAGGCTGGAGTGCAGTGGCACAACTTGGCTCACTGCAACCTCCGCCTCCCAGATTCAATGAATTCTCATGCCTCAGCCCCCCGAGTAGCTGGGATTACAGATTTGCACCATCATGCCCCGGCTAATTTTTGTATTTTTCGTAGAGACGGGGTTTCACTATGTCTGGTCTCCAATGCCCGACCTCAGGTAATCCACTGGCCTCAGCCTCCCAAACTGCTGGAATTACAGGCATGAGCCACCGCGCTCTGCCTATTTTTACTTAATAATAGACAATCTAAAAGCTTTTAACTTCAGAATTTTTCTTTTGCTATTTTTCAAGTAAAACATATTTCACCATTTTCATATCTTCCACTTTTCTTTCTGGTTTTCTGTAAGTAGTTGTACACATAGTCAATCACTTATTAGGTCAAATTTATTTTGAATGATTGAAACATTACCTTTTTGTAAAGCAAAATAGATAATTGACTGTTTTAGAATAAAAGTTGTTAAAACAATTTCTAATATATATATTTATGTATGTATATATACCATATATATCACATATATATTTTAAAAATATATATTTACATATGTATGTATATATGTAATTATATAGGTATTTGTATATGTATTATATATGTATGATACACACACACACGTGTGTGTGTGTTTCCCCAAAGTTTATCATTCTGATTTCACATTTTCTAATGAAATACAAGGTCAAAATGTGTTTTCAAACTGTTTTTTTAATCTCTTCATTACATAATTTCCTTTGAGTTATAATTTTTAACTTTCTATTTCAGTTCTTAACTCTTCAGATTTATTATTTAATCCTCTCATATTACTTGATGTATTTTAGAAAAACACATAATTTATCAAGACAGGCATGTATGTAATTTACTTGATTTCTTTTATCGAATGATCTATAGTTAATTGAGAACATCATGGAAAGTAGTACTCTGTTAAAAAAAACAAAATTTTTTAATGTTGGCTAAAACTAAAAACTTGCTTTTAGCTGGGCAAAGTGGCTCGTGTCTGCAATCCCAGCTACTTGAGAGGCTGAGCCAGGAGGATTGCTTGAGGCCAGGAATTTGAGACCAGCCTGGGGAGACACCCCCCGACCACGTCTCTAAAATAAGAAAAATTAACTGGGTACGGTGGTTTGTGCCTGTTGTGCCAGTCGACTACAATGAGAGGATCATTTGGGCCCAGGAGCTGTGAAGGCCACTGCACTCTGCAGAGTGTTTTGTTTTGTTTTGTTTTGTTTTCAGAGATAGAGTGAGACCTTGTCTCTAAAAATAAATAAATAAATAAATAATTTAAAAATTAGCTTTTGTCATGATATCAGCACCATCTATACAAAATCTAATATGGTTTTCATATGAATATTTCCTATTGCAACATTTCCTTCAAGCACCAACAATAGAGATTCATCTTATTTTGGTAATTTTCTATTTTGATCACAAAAGTTAATAAAAATGTGCACAATTTCTGTCCTTTTATAAATTCAAAAGATTTATTTCTGTGACACATTAAAGAAATGTCAATGATATTATCCAAACTTTGTTGTCTTGTTTGTTCTTCATGTTAGTTTTTGATATTCTACTAGAATTGTTGAATTTATGAGTATTATAAAAATCACAACAGTTTATCAGAATAAAATGTTCTGGCTGAGTATAGTGGCTCATTCCTATATTCCAGTGCTTTGGCAGGCTTGAGGCCAAGAGTTTGAGACCAGACTGAACAACACAGTGAGACCTTGTCTCTACAAAATATTTTAAAAATTAGTGGTGTGGTGGAGCATACCTATAGTACCAGCTACTCGGGAGGCTGAGGCGGGAAGATCACTTGACCCCAGAAGTTGAGGACTGAAGTGAGCTCCGATCACACCACTGCACTCCAGCCTGAGCAATAGAGCTAGACCCTGTCTCAAAAAAAAGAAAGAAAGAGAGGAAAAATGTAAAATTCCAATAATTGAAAAGGGGCAGCAATGACCTCTTTTGTGAATAGCAAACCCTGAGGAATCTCCTTAAGCACAGTTTTTCTACAGAATGAGAACCAAAGCAACACTGCCCAAAATGATACAGACAAACATTCCTGTGGTGTGGGTGTGGCAGAAGAACCTTTATCATGCTTACCGTGCCATCCTACATCTGTTACATTAAACTAAAGTGTTCATATGAGAACTTAGGTTGTCATTTATTTTTGTTTACTATAGGTTAATACTATCATATTTAAGCATAGGCACGGATTTATTTTGGCATTTTAACAGTCGAAAACACCATGTCAGTGGGTACTAACTCTGTTCATAAATTATTTCCATACAGGAGAGAAGGGTATAAAGCTCGGAGATGGCTTGACAACGGGCTTAGGATAGGGTTACAATGCCTCTTTTACTCATTGAAGTGGTAACCTAAAAAGAAAGAAAGGAATGTACATAGAGCAGTTTGTTTTCTGGCAAAACCAAATTTGCTCCTCCTTATAATAGCAACATCAAAGTGAACTGTCAAAATGTGCCTGGCATTAAAATGGCTGTGTCGCAACATCATCTACCCATAGGAAGTGTTAAGAGATAAGATCCAACAGGTAGATCAGAGCCAAATAGCATCTGTCTATGGAGTACACTATAATTAATTCTATAGGATAAAAGTAATTACTGGGATTTTGTCAGGGGGGCACTATAGTGGAAGTGGTGTTTCGGAAAGATTAATTTAATCCATACCAGGATAGTTTAGAGTGTGTAGATTATAAAGTAAAAGGTCAGTTAATAACCTGTTATCATTATCTAGGATTAAAATAAATGTCATAGAGGGAGCAGACAATGGAAATGAGAAGAGCTATATTCAAACATTGAAAATACAGGATCAAGACAATTACTATACAATAGAGATGACAACAGCAAGGAATAGTAAACAGAACATTCAGGTTTGCTTTTGCTCATATGAATATAAATTCAAATCTAGGCAACCCAGAGCTGATGCAGTTGCTTAAAGTTACTCTCAGGGACTTGGGTTCAATCTGCTTTCCAGACAGGAATGGGGGAAAGGGGAAAGAGTTAGAACAAGCAGCATTGGTCCCGTTTATCAAGAAAGGAAAATAATTACACTAAATTGTTTTAAACTTTCCCTTTCGTCTTATCATTATAACTACTTCCCGGGGCCACTGATTGCAGATCACAGTGGGAGGTATCAGCATGCTCCCCCTTCTCCTGGCAGGCCTGTTGGGTGGGGCCAGTGAGTACCATCAGGAGACTGAGATATCAGAATGCTTATTATTTCTCTGACTCTCCCAGTTTGGCCACAGTCTGGAAGTGACAACTGCTTGCAAAGGTAGAAAATTTCTGTCAGATGGACCCTCTCCTACAGTTTCAGCTCTCACAGGGATAAATGGTAACCATTCTCCCTTCTTGCCCCTTTTGGCTTTCCTTTTTGGGTTTTCTTAACCCAGCACACACTTTTGGGAACAGTCCCTCATTTCTTCAATTACCCCTTTTATGTGTGCTACTAGTTTCCTGCTAAACTAGATGAATATGTGAAAAAATTAAATAATTTTGATTATAAAACTGCCTCTGAATAAATTGGGGTAAAATAAATGAAGAGATGTTGTATAGGAAGTTAACAAATAAAAATCCTCTTGGGTAATATAAAAATGAAACAAATTCTCAAATTTAGATGAAAATATGACCTAAGAAACATTGTATAGAGCCAATAAACTGTTTCTATGTGAAGGTGCATGAAATGTCTTATGATTTTAAGGATTTAGATATAGAGGGCATACAAAAATGTATCATCATTGTGTTTATCCCTTTAAAAAATATTTTGCATAATCTTATCAAATTCAGGTATAGTTGCTTTGAAATTAGTTCAAATAGATGTAATTAAAAATAACTTTTTGAAAATATAATTCCTAAACTGAGTGAAATGTCAGAAGTATTCTGAAAAATAATACTAACGTTCAAATGTTTCAAAACAATAATCAGGATTTTACATCAGAAATTATAGTAAGATGGAGAAATAAGAGAAAGATCACTTTTGAAGAACGTTTCACAAGGGAAGTATTTGCTATGCTTCTTATTCCAAATTGCAAGGACTTAAAATTTCATTCTTGAACCTAATCACTAATAAACCATTTAAAAGAATAATTCTGAAAAAAGTAAAACATAACCATGAGCAGAATTTAAACAAAATATTCTCCAAAACACTACCGGGGTTTTGTCAGGGAGGGGGAGAGGCAGGAAACAAAGTATTCACATCAAAGGACAAAAGCAAAGGAAACATGAACAAATCATAGGGGACAAAACAGAGACAAATGTTGAGGTTATAACAACAATTGCAAATAAAATTTTAAAACTCCTAATCAAACAACAAACAAGAAACCAGAGACTCTTGACTGATGGGGTCAGGCAATCATGTAACCTCTAACAGTCATGCCCTATACAAACTTACTACAAATAATATAGGTAACATTATAGGCAATGTAAATACAATTCAAGGCAAAAATCATTAAGTGGTACAATATTAATCATGCTACATAAGTAGTAATGTAATCAGAAAGGGGTTCCGATCCGGACACCAAAAGAGGGTTCTTGGATATTGGGCAAGAAACAAATTGAGGCAAGTACACAGAGTAAAGTGAAAGCAAGTTTATTGAGAAAGTAAATGTCTCATGTGTCTCCACGTGAAGAGACCACCAAACAGGCTTTGTGTGAGCAACAAGGCTGTTTATTTCATCTGGGTGCAGGCGGGCTGAGTCCGAAAAGAGTCAGCAAAGGGTGGTGGGATCAACATTAGTTCTTACAGGTTTTGCGATAGGCAGTGGAGTTAGGAGCAGTGTTTTGGGGGCAGGGGGTGGATCTCAGAAAGTACATTCTCAAGGGTGGGGAGAATTACAAAGAACCTTCTTAAGGGTGGGGGAGATTATAAAGAACCTTCTTAAGTGTGGGGGATATTACAAAGTACATTGATCAGTTAGGGTGGGCCAGAAACAAATCACAATGGTGGAATGTCATCAGTTAAGGCTATTTTCACTTCTTTTGTGGATCTTCAGTTGCTTCAGGCCATCTGGATGTATGCGTGCAATTCACTGGGGATATGATGGCTTAGCCTGGGCCCAGAGGCCTGACAGTAAAGAAATAAAGAATGGCTACTCCATAGGAAAAGCAGCCCCGAGGGCTGCTGGTTGCTCATTTTTATGGTTATTTCTTGATGATATGCTAAACAGGGGTGGATTATTCATGCCTCCCCCTTTTAGACCACACAGGGTAACTTCCTAACATTGCCATGGCATCTGTAAACTGTCACGGTCCTGGTAGGAGTGTAGCAGTGAGGACGATGAGAGATCACTCTCGTTGCCATCTTGGTATTGGTGGGTTTTAGCTGGCTTCTTTTTTATCAGCAAACTGTTTTATTGCCAAGGCCTTAATGACCTGTATCTTGTGCTGACCTCCTGTCTCATTCTGAGACAGACTGCCTAACCTTCTGGGAATACAGCCAAGTAAGTTTCAGCCTCATTTTATCCAGCTCCTATTCAAAATGGAGTTGCTCTGGTTCAAACGCCTCTAACAGTAAGAAATGTCATAATATAATCAAATTTATTCTGAAACTCTTTGTGATAAATGAAACTGAAAGAAATTATAAATCCCAGTTAAAATAAAAGGAAATATTGACATAAATTCTAAAGTCATAGGAACTAAATTTTTCATGTATGCTAACATGTAAAAAAGCATAGAAATTTGAATATCAATTTTATATTATATGGATTATGCCCATAATATATAAGAAAACATGTGTGTTGATAAAAAGCATTTTCAAACTTTTATATCATGAGACTAAAAGGACATACTTACACTAAATGACCTCTAGTTCCCTTAGAGATAAAGATTGAATCAATTTTTTTATTTTTCTGCTGAATTTCAAAATTGATGCATCAGTTAGTAAGTTACTCCCTGGATGCACAAGCGTATTTTTCTCTTTCCTTTTTTTGAACTTGCATCATGTCTTTCAGGCCACTAGGGTAACATCTAAAAAATTATCGCTTCAGTGGCTCTTCACAGAAAACACTTTTGAGAGTTACTTTCAATGTTATATTCTGGGCAACTGCCAGAAAATTACAAGACATTTTCCTTGTAGTATTTTGTCATTTTAGGCGTCCAGCTTTGGCTCAAAACCCAAAGAGAAGATGAGAAAAAGTTCAAATCTCTTAACATTGAGGAATTTATAAAACCCCAAGTAAAAGTTAATTCCTAAAGCACTCACTGACAGCAGACACAACTGTTATGTCTTTATACACAGGTTGTTGACAAAATATGTTTGTATATCTGAACTTAATTTTTAATTAACCAACCACATTTTCTTAAACTGAACTGTCCATTAAATAAGAGACATTAGAAAAACTATTAAAAATTTTAATAAAATTGCTTTGTAAAATGTACATTTTCGTTATCTGCAACACTCCTCTCACAACCATTTCCTGGGCAGAATTTCCTATTTCTTAGCTTTGTCATATTAGGATGGAAATAATAGAGTAATGTATCTGAGAATGGTGATTACTGTGATCTATTGGAATAGTGTACTCTCCTATGAGAAAAAAAATAACCATTTAAGAAGTTAAATAATGTGTAATTACGGCCATTTAGAATATATTACATATTGCATCATATCATTAATCTTTTCCTCTGAATTTTACCTTCTGCATCTAAGATACTGAAAAATATATTTTGAGTTTACCAAATTACATCATAATGTATACATATTGAGTTAAATTGAATCTATTTCTAAAAGATAACTTCTATATAGTTAACATTTATAATAAATACATATAATATATTTTTAAGTGTAAAATAGTGAATACAAGTACCCACTGCCCAGAATGAGAACTTGAATAGTGTTTGGTTTTGTTTTTAATCAGCATAAATGGGAATGCAAACTTAAGGTTGTGGCTGGGATAAAAATGTAATGTAATTTATAAGGATAAATTTTTACTATCCTAGACAGAAATATGCAAATGTAAAGAATAAGAAAGAAAATTTAGTTAAAATATTAAGGATCCACTATGTTATCTGATACATCTCATGATGTCAAGGCTTAAAGTGCATTCACTCTCCAGTTCCTTAGGAAAGCCTCTAGTTTGCTTTACCTTCTTTCTAAAAAATAGTTTGACCTGTTTAGATTCAGGGGTATGTGTGCAGGTTTGTTACATTGTGTGATGCTGAAGTTTGGGATACAAATGACCGCATCCCCCAAGCAGTGAGTATAGTACTCAATAGCTAATAGCTAGCATTTCAATCCATGCCCCATTACCTCTCTCCCCTCTCTAGTAGTCTGCAGTTATCTATTATGTTTATGAGTGCTCAACGTTTAGCTCCTGCTTATAAGTGAGAACATGTAGCATTTGGTTGTCTGTTCCTGCATTAATTTGCTTAGGATAATGGCCTCCAGCTGCATCCATGTTGCTGCAAAGGACATGATTTCATTCTTTACTATGGCTTCATAGTATTTCATGGTGTATATGTATCACATTTCTCTATCCAATCTTCTGTTGATGGGCACAAGTTGATGGACACTCCATGTCTTTTCTATTGTGAATAGTGCTGCAATGAACATACAAATGCATCTCTCTCTCTCTCTCTCTCTCTCTCTCTCCTCTCTCTCTCTCTATATATATGTACATACAAACACACACAAACAATATTGAGATTGAGATTGCTGGGTCGAATGGTAGCTCTAAGTTCTTTGAGAAGTATCCAAACTGCTTTTCACAGTGGCTGAATTGATTTACATTTCCACTAACAGTAAATAAGCATTCCCCTTTTATAACAGAGCCTTGCCAGCATCTGTTATTTTTTGACTTTTTAATTGTAGCCGTTCTGACTGGTGTGAGATGGTATCTCATTTGGTTTAGATTTGCATTTCTCTGATGGTTACCAATGATGAGCATTTTTTCATGTTTGTTGGCTATGAGTAGGACTTCTTTTGAGAAGTATCTGTTCATATCTTTTGCTCACTTTGAATGAGATTGTTTTTGCTTGTTGAATTGTTTAAATTCTTTATAGAGTATGGATAATGGACCTTTGTCAGTTCATAGTTTGCAAATATTTTCTCCTATTCTGTAAGTTGTCTATTTACTCTGTCGTTAGCTTTTTTAGCTGTGCAGAAGCTCTTTAGCTTAATTAGGTCTCACTTGTCAATTTTTGTTTATGTTGCAATTGTTTTTGAGGACTTAATCATAAATTCTTTACCAAGGCTGAGTCTAGAACGGTGTTTCCTAGATTATCTTTTAGGATTCTTATAATTTGAAGACCAACATTTAAATCTTTAATCCATCTTGAGTTAATTTTTGTATGTGGTGAAAGGTAAGGGTCCTGCATATGGCTAGCCAGCTGTACCAGCACCATTTATTGAATAGTGAGTCATTTCCCAATTGCTTATTGTTGTCAACTTTGTGAAGGTCAGATGGCTGTGGGTGTGAAGCTATATTTCTGGGTTCTCTATTCTCTGTCCTGTTCCATTGGTATATGTGTCTGTTTTTATGCCAGTACAATGCTGTTTTGGTTATACTGTGGTTTGTTTATAGTACAGTTGGAAGTCAGTAATGTAATTTCTCTGACTTTGTTCTTCTTGCTTCAGATTGCTTTTGCTGTTCGGACTCTTTTTTGATTCCATACTAGTTTCAGAATTGCTTTTCCTAATTCTGTGAAAAATAAAGTTGGTAGTTTGATAGAAATACTTTGAAACTGTAGATAGCCTTGGGAAGTATGGTCATTTGAATGACACTGATTCTTCCAATACATGAGCGTGGAATTTTTTTTCATTTGTTCATGTCATCTACAATTTCTTTCATCAGTGTTTTGTAGTTCTCCTCACAGAAGTCTTTCATCTCCTTGCTTGATGTAGTTCTAGGTATTTTATTTTTATGTGGGATTACATTTTTGATTTGGCTCTCAGCTTGAATGTTATTGTTGTATATAAATGCTGTTGATTTGTGTACAATATTTTTGTATCCTGAAAAATTACTGAAGACATTTATCAGTACCAGTAGCCTTTTGGTGGAGTCTTTAGGGTTTTCTAGGTGTAGAATCAGCAAAAAAAAAGAGATAGTTTGACTCTTTTTTTTTTTTTTTTTCTATGTGGATCCCTTTTCTTTGTTTCTCCTGCCTGACTCCTCTGGCTAGGACTTCTAGTACTACATTGAACAGTAGTAGTGAGAGTGGGCATCCTTGTCTTGTTCCAGTTCTTAAGGGGAATGCTTCCATTTTTTGCCTCTTCAATATGATGTTGGCTGTAGGATTATCATAGATTGCGCTTATTGAGGTATGTTCCTTTTATGTCTAATTTTTTTAGGGTTATCATTATGAAGGGTTGTTAGATTATATTGCACGCTTCTTCCATGTCTATTGAGATGATCATATGGTTTTGGTTTTTAATTCTGTTTATGTGGTGAATCATATACATTAATTTGCATATGTTGAATCTAACTTGCATGCCAGGAATGAAGCCTACTAGATCATAATGAATTCATTTTGATGTGCTGCTAAAATCAGCTTGGTAGTATCTTGTTAAGGATATTTGTGTTTATGTTCATCAGGGATACTGACCTATTTTTGTTTTTGCTTTTGTTTTTGTTTTGCTTCTTTGTGTCTTTGCCAGGTTTTGATATCAGGGTGATGCAGGCTTCATAGAATGAGTTAGGGAGAAGATCCTCTTCCTTGATTTTTTGTAATAGTTGAACTGGTATGAAGTTTTCTTTGTACATCTGGTAGAAGTCAGCTATGACTCCATCTGGTCCAGGGCTTTTTTTTTTTTTTTTTTTTTTTTGGTTGGTAGGGTTTTTTAAAATTGCTGATTCAATTGCAGAACTCAATATTGGCCTGGTCACATTTTAAATTTGTTCCTGATTCAATCTTGGGAGGTTGTGTGTCTCCAGGAATTTATCCATTTCCTCTAGACTTTCTAGTTTGTGTGCATAGAGGTGTTCATAATAGTCTCAAGATTTTTTGTATTTCTGTTAGATCAATTGTAATGTCACCTTTGTTTCTGATTATGGTTAAAAGGATGTTCTCATTTTTTCTTTGTTAATCTAGCTAGTGGTCTATCAATCTTCTTTATCCTTTCAAATAACCAACTTTTGGTTTTATCAATTCTTTGTGTAAATTTTTGAGTCTCAATTTTGTTCAGTTCTGCTCGGATTTTAGTAATTTATTTTCTTCTGCTAACTTTGGGGCTGGTATATTTTGATTTTTCTAGTTCCTCTAGCTGTGATGTTACATTGTTAATCTGCGATCTTTCTAATTTTTGAGGTGGGCATTTAGCACTATAAATTTTCCTCTTAACACTGCTTTTTTCTGCATCCCAGAGATTTTGGTATGTTGTGTCTCTATTTTCATTTATTTCCAAGAATTTATTTTTTGTTTTCTTTATCAATTTCATTTTTTAAACAAAAGTCATTCAGGAACAAGTTGTTTCATTTCTATGTATTGTGTGGTTTTGGGAGATCTTCTTAGTATTGACTTCTATTTTTGTTCCACTATGGTCTGAGTATGGTTGGTAAGATTTTGATTTATTTGATTATTCAACATTATGAATGGCTGAGCATGTGACTTTATGTTCAAGCATGTGACTGATCTTGAAGTATGTTCTGTGTGCAGATGAAAATAATGTATATTTTGTGGTTGATGGGTGGAGTGTTCTGTAGATGTCCAGTAGGTCTACTTAGTCAAGCATTGAATTTAAGTCCAGAATTTCTTTGTTAGTTTTCTGTCTCAATAATCTGTCTAATGCTGTCAGTGAGCTGTTGAAGACCCCACTATTAGTATGTGGCTCTTTAAGTCTTCTCCTAGGTCTAGAAGCAGTTGTTTTATAAGGTTGAGTGCTCCAATGTTGGGTGTATATATATTTAGGATAGTTAAGTCTTCTTGTTGAATAGAACCCTTTATCATTCTGTAATGCCTTTCTTCTACCTTTTTTACTGTTATTGGTTTAAAGTCTATTTTATCTGTTGCAAGAATAGTGACCCCTGCTCTTTTTTTGTTTTCTATTTACATGATGGATCTTTCTCCAACCCTATGCTTTGAACCTATGGGTATCATTACATGTGAGATGGGTCTCTTGAAGACAGCAGATGGATGAATCTTTTTCTTTTTTAATCCAGCTTGCATCTTTGTGCCCTTTAAATTGGATGTTTAGACTGTTTACATGCAAAGTTAATATTGATATGTGAGGTTTTGATCCAATCTTGGAGCTGTTAATGGTTGCTTTGAAGTTTCTATGTTATTGTTGCTTTATAGGATCTGTGGGTTCTGTACTTAAATGTGTTTTTGTGGTAGCTGGTATTGTTCTTTTGTTTACATATTTAGAATTCCCTTAACAATCTCTTGTAATACTAATCTAGTGGTAACAAGTTCCCTTAGCAGTTGCTTGTCTGAAAAATACTTTATTTTTCCTTTTATGAAGCTTAATTTGGTGGGACATGAAATTCTTGGTTGGTTGGAATTTCTTGTCTTTGAGAATGCTGGAAGTATGTCCCCAATCTTCCCTGGCTGGTAAGGTTTCTGCTGAGAAATCTGCCGTTAGCCTGACGGGGTTCCTTTTGTACATGATTTGACATTTTTCTCTAGGTGACTTTAAGATTTTTTCTTTAGCATTGACTTTGGGCAGTCTGGTGACTATATGCCTTGGGGATATTCATTTTGTATATTATGTTGCAGGTGTTCTCTGGTTTTCTTGTATCTGGATGTCTACCTCTCTAGCAAGATTAGAAAAACTTTCTTGAATTATTCCATCAAATATGTTTTCCAGGTTGTTTACCTTTTCTCCTTTTCTCTCAGGAATGCCAATAATTTATCACCTTGGTTGCTTTACATAGTCTCATATTTCTTGAAGACTGTTCATTTTTTAAAATCCCTTTTAAAATTATTTTTGTCCAAGTTAGTTTGAAAAATCAGTCTTCAGGCCAGGTGCAGTGGCTCATGCCTGTAATCCCAGCACTTTGGGAGGCCGGGGCAGGCGGATCATGAGGTCAGGAGATCGAGACCATCCTGGCTAACACAGTGAAACCCTGTCTCTACTGAAAATACAAAAAATTAGCCAGGTGTCGTGGTGGGCACCTGTAGTCCCAGCTACTTGGGAGGCCGAGGCAGGAGAACGGCGTGAACCCAGGAGGCAGAGCTTGCAGTGAGCCGAGATCATGCCACTGCACTCCAGCCTGGGCAACAGAGCGAGACTCCGTCTCAAAAAAAAAAAAAAATCAGTATTCAAACTCTAAATTTCTTTTTCTTCTTCTTCTTTTTTTTTTTTTTTTTGACAGGGTCTCACTCTGTCACCAAGGCTAAAGTACAGTGGCATGATGTCAGCTCACTGCAACCTCTGCCTCCCAGGCCCAAGTGATTCTCCTGCCTCAGCCTCCTGAGTAGCTGGGGCTACAGGTGCCTACCACCATGCCCAGCTAATTTTTATATTTTTAGTAGAGATAAGGTTTCACCATGTTGATCAGGCTGGTCTTGAACTCCTCAACTCAAGTGATCCGCTCACCTCGGCCTCTGAAAGTGCTGGAATTACAGGCAGGAGTCACCATGACTGGCCTCTAAATTTCTTTCTTCTGCTTAGTGAAGTCCATTGATAAAGGTTTCACTTGTATTTTGAAAATCTTTGAGTTTTTCAACTTCAGAAGCTCTGATTGATTTCTTTTTAACATGTTTATATTTTCCTTCATTTCCTGGACTGATTAAGAAATTTCTATGTAATGATTTTCAACCTTGTCTTGGCTTTCAGTGAACTTCCTGGCTATCTATTCTTTGAATTCTTTATCTGTCATTTTTGAGTTTCCATTTGGCTAAGGACCTTTGTTGGAGAGCTAGTGCAATCTTTTGGTGGTGTCACTACATTCAGATTTTTTATGGTGCCAGATTTCATGCACTGGTTCCTTCTCATCTGGAGACACTGGAACTTCTAATTTTTGTAATTATTTTTTTGTAGGTAGAACTTTTGTTTTTCTTTCTTCCCATGTAATATTATGTATATTTTTTCTTTTCTTTTGCATTTTTTTTCCTTTCTTAGGGGGTGTGACTGAAGAGAATATTGGGTAGGGTCTTTTGGCTTTGCTTCTCTGTAGTCCTATGCACTTCTTTTGGTGAGTTTTTATTAGGCTGTGCGGTTTGACCTACAAGCCAGTAGATGGTGCTTATGAGTAAAAGGTGGTTGTAGCCAATGTGAGCGGATATATGCTTTATCCTTGCTTACTGGAGAGAGTTCTCTGTTGCCTCATGCAATGGACTTATCTTTGAGGTGCACAGTGGTCTGAGCTCCCTGCTCAGTCCTGGGGGTGTGGTGGAAAGATGGACAGGGCTGGACTGGGTAGGCCTACCTACAGGTCCTGTGATGGCAGGCACAAACACTACTGCCAAGGGAGAATCCAGTGGGAAGCCACCAAGTGCCCAGAGGTGTACATAGTTCTGGAGTTAGAAACCTCCTTGGCGCCAAGTTCTCTGCATGGGGAGGGGGACGCAGCCTAAACTCCACATCCAGGAGAGTGGGAGTTCCAGATGCCTGAAGATCTGCCTGGGCATGAAGCAGATAGAGCCTCCTGCACAGGAAGGCTGGGTAACTGAGGCTACTGAACCAGGCAAGCAGGTGCTCCAGGTGCCTGAAAATCTGCCTGGATGTGAAGCAAAGAGGGCCCCCTGAACCCAGATCTCTCCACAAGAATGGTAGAGCAGCTCAGGCTGCTCATCCAGGCAAGTGGGTGCTCCACATGGCTGAAGACCTGCTTAGGTGGGAAGTGGAGAGGGCCTCCTGCACCACAGTTTCTGCATAGGAAGGGTGAGAGAGCTCGGGCTGCTGGGCCAGGCAAGCAGGCACTCTGAATGTCTAGAGTTCTGACTGGAGACTCAGCAGAGAGGACTCCACTGCACCACAATCTCAGGGGAGCAGTCTGGACCACCCAGCAAGGACATATACATGCTGGTTCCACATAGCCACATTGGCCCTGGCTGCAAGTCTCTTCAACCAGGAGAAACCACAGCTGTTGCAGCTCCCCTCCCACTCCAGGCTTGTGATGGGGAGAGCACAATTCTGCTGGGGCATTGTCCATAATTTTTGCTGTGGAAGCCTCTATCCTGCTTCAGAGAAGGCATTCCAATCTTCAACCTGAGACTAAATGTCTGAGGAATCATGCTGCAAGATCACCAAAGAATGACTTTGTATGCACGCTTATCAAAAATAGCATCCTACTTGCTCATGGGTCTGGGAAAATGCCTGCAGCTTTTCCTGATGTCTTTCCTTCTGGGTGCCTCCAATCCTCTCCCCAAATTAGCTCCAGAGTTTGGGAGAAACAAAAGGGTTCTTTCCTGGCCTAGGCTGCTCAGATCCCCAGTGAAAAAGTGAGTCACAGAGGGAGGCTGTGTGTCTCTCCCACGCTGGGGCTTCACTCACTTTTGTCAGCCAAATACCATCACAAGGGCTGTTTGCCTGCAATCTCCTCTTGGGGATCTGGGGTGTCCTTCATAATTTAGGTGGGTTCTTGTTTTCCTTCTGGAATTAAAGCTCACAGAGTTAATCTTTATGTACTACCTTGCTATTTCCAAGTGGCTGAGGTACACTGAAAGCCTCTAAACCACCATCTTTGGTGGCAGGGGGAAAGAAACAACAACAAAAACAACCAAACAAAAACCCTCTAATTTAAATTTTATGTTGTGTTTCATGGATCCAAGTGCAGAATAGACTTTGTCTGCTACAAGTTACATGAATATGGTAGACAGCCTTAAAAAGCTGGTATAAAATAGGATGAAGTGGAAAAGGAGGTAAAAGTCTAATATTCTACCAATTTGGAAAACAGAAAGGCCCAGAAAAGCAAGATAGAAATAAATAATAATAAGAGTTAACAAATATTGAGTACTTACATTAAGCTAAGAATTCCTCTAAGAATACTGATATATTAACTTGTTTAATCCTGAGAACTATCCCGTGAAGTGGGGAGTATGAAACTGAATTCTCATCTTATGCCACACACAAAAGTCAATCAGTTGTAAAGGCCTACATCTAAAGGCAAAACTCGAAAACTTTTGAAAAACTATACAGGAGAATAGTTTACTGAACAACTTTTTACACAAAACCCAAAAGGTACAACAAAGAATGAGAAATTCTGCTGAACTGAAATTAAGAATTTAATATTTACGAAATGTTAGCATAAAAAGTATGAAAAGACTAACTACTGTTATTTTCAATCCTTAAACTGACAAAAGATTCATATATAAAATATATGAAGAACATTCATACATCAATAATAATCAGACAAACAAGGGAATGTAAGAATTGGCCAAAGTCTTAAAAGGAGGTTTTGACAAAATTGTAAACCCAAACAACCTAAATATGTGAAAAGACACTTAAACATCACCATCTAGAGAAACGAAATTAAATACACAATGAAATGCCTTTTAAACCCTTTCTAATACCAGTCTAATAAAATATCTGATAATAGCAAACACTATAAAGAAATGGAACATGGCATTTTCTCATGTATTCCTTGTGAGACTATAAATTGCAGCATGCAATTTGGGAAAACAGTTTGGTATTAGTTGGCACAGTTGAATATGTTTGCATATTCTAAAGTCCAACCTATTACACACCTATGTATATGTCCTAGAGAAACTCTTATCAAGTATACTGGGAAACATGTTAAATAACAGTAATAAAGCATCAATACCAACAAAACCATAAATAACACTTGTGCTTCTCCATGTAGAAGTTAATTTTAAGTGTATCATAAAATTCAATTAGTCTTCAAAATAATCTTATGAAATAGGAAATGATATATGTACCATTATTAATAAGCACACATGCATAGCTGAAAAAATGCAAAAATAAAATAAAGTAAAATTTGGGCTGGGCACAGTGGCTCACGCCTGAAATCCCAACATTTTGGGGGACTAAGGCAGGAGGATAGCTTGAGGCTAGGAGTTTGAGATCAGCCTGGGTCCCTTAGGGAGATAAATTAAAAAAAATTATCCGGCCATGGTGGCTCATACCTGTAGCCACAGCTACTCAGGGGGCTGAGGTGGGAGGATCGCTTGAGCCTGGAAGGTTAAGGCTGCAGTGAGCCATGATCACACCACTGCACTCAAGTCTGGGTGACAGAGAGAGACCCTGTCTCAAAAAAATAAAAATAAAAATAAAAAATAGAAGGAAAGTTTAACACAAGTCAAGATAAGGGTTCCATCTTCATGGCTGGTATGAGAGTGCAGAGGAGTAGTGGTGTAATGGGGCTTCTAACATGCTGCATTGCTCCATTCTATTCCTTATTCTGGGCAGCAAATACTTGTATTCACTATTTCACATTTAAAACTGTGTATTATATTCATTTTATACATGTTCAACCAATAAATTCACTTCTTTCCATATTCTCAGGGACACACAGAGACACCTTCGGCTGAAAGGCAGGCATAAGTTACCTAAGTAATTATCACATGCTGAGAAGGCATGTGCAATTTGTTTTCACAGCACAATGGAGAGGGCAGACAGCACTGCCAACAGAAAATCAGGAATCAGAAATGCTTCATGTAGAAGACTGCAGTTACTCTGTGACTCTGGGGATAATTAGGAAATCTCCAGGTGGTAAAAGAGGAGAAAGAGCACTCAGGCATCCTTAAAAAAAAAAAAAACAATCAAGAAGAACAAGCAAGCAAGCAACCTGGAAATACCTGGTACAACTTAAAGGTAGAATGGGATAAATTGAAGTAAATTAGGACATTAGAAATATGACTACATTTTTAACTTTGGCTACAGTCTAAAGTCAATCACCTTCTCTCTCTTTCTGTCTCTCTCTGTCTCCCTATTTCTATCTCTCTCCCTCTCACACACAGCAATAGAGTGATTTTGACAGCGAAGGAAATGGAATAGGAACATTTATGGTTCAATAATTCATATGGAAGGGCTTAAAATATGCAAGATGAATCAAAAGAGATGCCAAAAGTTTCACGTTCACACTGTGTTTATTCAACAAACATACTTTTAAAACAATTTTAGTGTGTCTTGAAGAAGGGGTGGGTACTAGGGCAAACATCTTTGGCTTGCTAATCAAATATCTTTTCCTAATCCTTTTCCCCTTGCCTACCTTCTGAAGAAATAGAAATGTTAAATTTGCATATTTATGTACACTCTCAAAGCTAAAGGTGGTCACGTATTACAGTTTCACCTAATGATACATACATAATGATTGCTCTACTAGAATTATCTGGGGAAGATTCTCTTTTCCTGGTAAAGAGATTTAAGCATCTGTTGCCATCACCTCTTCCTTCAATCTTGACTGAGGATGTAATGTGTTAATACTGGCAGTTATTTTGTTAGCATGAGAATGTCAGAGCATCCACCTCTGACATCACCAAACCACTGAACCAATACTAGCAACTTCCTTCCTCAAGGCTTTTTATGGTCTCAGGGGGAAAAAAAAGTCATATTTGTTAAAGCCATTGCTTGAGATTTCTATCACCTGAGGCTAGAAGTATTTCTGGCTGCTAGAAAGTTTATTCCTCACTGAGAAAGCAAAGCTGAAACATTCCAAGTTATTCCTTTGGTTCTGCCATTGGTTATGGGAAGAAGAATTGGCATGGGCTAAGGAAATTTATGAAAGAATTGGTATGAAGTTAGAAGAAACATTTTACATAAAATGAAGAGAAATGTCCTTTTGATTTGCCTATGCATGCGCATAACAATGGTGATTTTAAATATCAGAATCATCTAAATTCTGGAGCATTGAACATTTAGGTCACAATAAGTGAAATTATTAAAATTTAATTCATTCATGATGAAGATATTTCTAAAACATAGCAAATATTTTGCAAGTTCTATTTAATGCTGAAACCTTAAAATGTTAGAAACATGAAAACAGAAACTCCTAAGTGCCCATCAGCTTCGATCCTAAGCAAACTAATTGAGAGTTTACCTTAAATTTGTTTTTATTGATGATTGCCTAAAACAACTGTGAGGGCCTCTGCTATTGTTCCATTCTGAGGTGTCACTGGGAGTCCCAAACGGGGGATTTACAGAGAGATGCTTTCCAATGCATCCTAAACCTCCACCGTTTTCTGAACTCAAGAGCTGCTCTCCTTGTTTCCCTTGGCAATTCTCCATTGCCATTCTCCTCATCGGTTTATTACTCCATAGACCCCATAGGCCAAAAACCCTCTGCTGAGGTCCAACATGCTGTTATTTTGTCCATCTTTAATTTATAAAGCCCATTGGTGAATGTGCTTGTTTTACCACTATTGTCTCTAATTGTCATTGATGTTTTGCTCAAACCTCCCAGCCTGCATATTTCAGGTATTTAATTCCTTTTCAAGTTAATAGGAAACATTTTTCCTTTCTCATACTCAACTATTCTATGGAGAAAAACCCAGACTAGGAATGTTGGGCCTTAAAGATGCAGTTGTTAATAGTTGTTAATAACCCTTTTTAATCTCAAAACTGGGAAGGTAACCACAGACAACTTGGAAAAAGTAAGTTTTATTATAGGCTAAATTATTCTCATAACCACGGTTTCTTCCTTCTTGCTGTATCAGACACATGATAACCATGATGATTCTTCTTCTGGGGTCCCATTGTCTTCTTGCAATGTAGCTTTCATCAGCAACTTTGTCTCTCCACTAACCCCACCCCATGCTCAAGTGTTCAAACATGCCTGGCATGTTGCTGTCCTAGTTGTGAAGAGTGTTAAACCTGTATTTCATGACCTACTGGGAGTCCCTTCCTCATTTTGGTTAAATATTAGAGAAATATCACTAACCTCTGCCTACAAGTATATCCAGTTGTTAGATCTGACCCAGTATTTAGAGCCATTTTACATATTTATCTTTTTATAATTTCAAAGGTAAATATAATTGTTATTTCCATTTTAGGATAATGAAATGAGATTCATGAAAGTTAGGTGGCTAGACCAATATCACATAACTAAACTAATAGCAAGTGCCATGCCTAGCCTTCTGGCTAGAATCCTTGCTTCATGGTCTTATTCTCTCTCTTTCTATGGTTCCCTCTCCATATAAATAAACTGGCACTAAGCTATTACCAATAAGAACTCAACATCTCTAGAACATATGCAGATGCACAGATATGCATCTCTTCAACTTGAGGAATTCCATTGCTTTAGAGTCTCAAGAATATACCTTAACTAAAGTCTAATCTTTCATTCATAATAAATTGTTATGGCCAGGCATAGTGGCTCACACCTGCAATCCCAGCACTTTAGGAGGCTGAGGCGGGCGGATCACGAGGTCAGGAATTCGAGACCAGCCTGACCAACAAGGTGAAACCCCATCTCCACTAAAAATACAAAAATTAGCTGGGCGTGGTGGCACGCACCTGTAATCCCAGCTACTCAAGAGGCTGAGGCAGGAGAATCGCTTGAACCTGGGAGGCGGAAGTTGCAGTGAGCCGAGATCGCACCATTGCACTCCAGCCTGGGAGACAGAGTGGGACTCCGTATCAAAGAAAAAAAAAATTAAAATTAATGAATAGTTACTAATACATTTGATTTTATCTCAGTTGCTCAACCAAAAATGTGCAAAAATTAAGAATTAACCTGGACAAATGATAGTTAAAAGTTCAAGAGAAATATAACCATTTTGGGGGTTACTTGATATAAGTTAAATAAAGAGAATTGAAATATATTTATTTCATTGTTACAAAGACTATCACACTAAAATATAGTTACATACTGGATAATTATGTATGTGACTGTGCCAAACAGCATTTTAATTATACTAAAAAATTCCATTAGCTGAGACTTAGCTTCTTCAGAATGTGATACAATACAATCCCTAATGAGCCAAAATTTAACTTACTGCCACCAATAAATGAGAGGTACTTACTGAGCTAATAAAACATACTAAGTTAAGAATTTTTAAGAACTATATAAATTTAACATTTAGGACATACAATTTTAACATAAGCAAACACTGATTATACTGGTGATGTAAAATCCTCATTACAGATTTCTTCATCAAACATCAAAATTGCTTAACCTAGTTCAAATTACTGCTATGATTATCACTTTTCCCTTTACAATATTACTTCAGACATCAGAGGAAAGCGGGTGTGAATATGTGGGGATGAGGGGCGTGCATCCTTGCATGTGCTCTATGTACTTCGATTTCACTGTTGTGTGGTACCTCATGGTGCTGCTCTATTGATAAAAGAAACTTTTGGAGGACATGCACAACTACTGAGTAGATTAAGCTGGAAAAATTGAACTGTAGATTCCTCTAAAGCACATTTGCATAAAGACAATTGGCCTGAGAGAAGCTATTTTCTGTGTTTCCGTCAAAACCGCCCTGCTATTGATAAAGGACCCAAGAAAACCACGAGGTTTTCATTTAGGATCATAATTATCCTTGATGAAAATTATCATGCTTTTGAAGACCTGCCTTAGACAAACAAAACACAATAAAAAAAAAAAAACCAGTACATTATGGTAGCTTGATGTGTAACATGCATTTGATTGAGAACTAGAATACTAGCTACACTAAATTTTTAAAAGTTCCGAAAAGGACTAATGAAAGTACCAGAGAAATTTTTATGGAAGAGAGAGAGAGAATAGGTTCATTGGATGTGAGAAAGTGACTTGGTCATAGAATAAACACTAAATTTTTCAAAGTTTTAAGTATTCTGTATTTCAGAGTAATATTATTAAGCTTAATTTACATATTTTATTTTTTAACTTTCTAAGTAATTTAGATTGGCCTTGCTCAATAATTTCTCCAAATATATGTATAGGAATCCTGTCATTTTAAGAAAATCTGTCATTGTAAGAAAACCTGTCATTGTAAAAAAACTAGTATTGGTGAAATTATTTCAATGTGTATATTAATAGCTATTGCCTTATTAAACTATATATAAAAGTGAATATATATATTGAAAAAGAAATAATTTATTAGTGAACTTCATTGAAATAAATTGTAAATAATTTTTCCAACACATGGAAAAGCACTATTTAATGTGTTCTTTGTATCAGCCATATTTAGAATAAAAATGCAAGGTAGATATTAGTATTGCCATTTTACAGATGAGGAAACTATGGCTCAGAATGGTTAAGTGACTTGTCCCAAGTCACACTACAAATAGGCCCAACTGTGGGCCTTAGGAGTCAGACATTCCTAAATTTTAATACCGTGTATTTCCTCTACACGGTTCTCTAAAATTACCTACAGTAACATGAAATGCACAGCTCTTCCATGTTAACCACGGTCTTTCTGCTCTCATAGATACTGTAGTATAATAACTCCCAGTTTACCCACAAGACTTCCCACCAGACTATGAATCCCTTAAGTCTTCCCTGAAATCTATTCCTGGTATACAGAGTTTCAATAAATATTGTAATGATGGTTATTTAAAAAAATAAAGCCCCATATTGTAGTGAATGGAAACTTGACTGTGGTATGAGATCAGCTTGATTGAGCCTGCCACTCACCAGCTTTATGACTTAGTATAAGTTATTTAGATTTTTGAGGCACTCTCCTACTTTTTGAAAACAGAATGCCTTGCTGAATTTAGGAAGTTTAAATCATTTAATGTAAGCAAGACGTTATGCACATAAATGTTCCATGAACATGACTTTAGTGCCATGAGACCTGCACAGCCAGCAAAAGACCTGAAATAGGCAGAACCATTCAGATTGCATAAAAATGTCTACGTGAATTTTTGTCTGGCTAGATCCAAATAATATTCTATTAATATACAATTCAATTATAATAAGGAGATTATAGAAGCAGGTTAGCCGCAGTGTGTATGTTTGTGGTGTGTGTGCATGTGTGTGTGTGTGCACACGCTGGGGACAGGAAAGGTGTGGAAATTCTCCAACCCATGGAGAGAAAATAATTGAATAAAAGTACAACTTGAACCTGTAAGTTTATGGTAGATAATACATATGTACACCATAGTGTACTTTATATATTTTGTAAGTATAGTTTTAACTTACAGTTTCATATTCACACTGACTTATTAGGTAGCACAGTTTATCTATAATGCAAGTCAAATCACCCTGAATATAAACTGTTCTCAGGTTGAGCTTCCTGGCACATCAGGGAGAGAAAAGATGGGAATAAGTTTTCTGTGAGAAGACATATAACCGTCTTCAACTTGCTAGAGATTACAAAAATTATTTCCTGAATTTGTCTTTCAACCCTGGAAAGATTTGTAATTAAGTAAAAAGATAATAAAAGCAAATAAACTCACTGATTTAATTATTTGATGATAAAGTAAGGGATATGGTTTTAATCACTAGAACAATCTGCATCTATTTGGCATTGAAAGGCCAACAATGCTTAATAAACGTTATCATTATAGAGATTTTGAAAGACTGGACTTAAGATTTCAATTTTAAAATGTCTAATTAAGTAAATGACCTTAAGTTGTGGCAGCAATGTGGCATCACAGCAACTTGACAATGTTTTAATGATTGTTGGAATGTTTAAATGAACTAATAAGACTTACTATACTTAATTTTTTTTAATTTAAACTATTTAAAAATAAAATTGATTATATTTGAAAGTACAATTTAAAACGTATGAAGGGATATAATTACTAAGTTAAAAGTAAAATAAATAGACTAATGATATTTTTTAGTTGAATTTAAACACAAATTGAGGCATTTTTATGATGTGTCAAAAAACAATGGTAGTTTAACTCTCATCTCTACATAGTCTTTGCTGTACATAAACATTTCTTTCAGATTAAAAAAAAATTCACCCTTGTAAAACACCATTTGATAAATCTTAGTTTTCTTCAAGCTATTTGTCATACTACACTATCACAGTTTGGCTAGCTCATATTAAAATTGCTTCATATTATTCTGTAACTATATAGATAAATGGTCAATAACAACAAAAATCCATATACAATAAAAATATAAATTTTAAAATTAATTTTCGAGAGGGAAGAGTCTGTCTATCATGATTATGCTTATGGTTTCAATAGCAAATTGAATTTATGACATTAATAATTATCTTCTTTACTGATATATGGTGAAAAGTGGTAGTTCTGAGGTTACCTAATTTTGCTCCCTGTTTGGCAAGCAAAAGAAACCAGAGTGTTGAGCTTCCTGGCACATTAGGGAGAGAAAGACAGCAGGCTGGGGCCAACGAAAGAGTCCTATATTTCATTTTAAATTATTACCTGTACCATTCTAAAATTCTCCCGAAGTACACTCAGAGACTTAGGAAAAGATTATATCCCATCACGATCTTTTATTAATGGTTCCTTGGAGAATTGAGAGAAGATTTTGTCCAAGTTTGAAACAAATCATGCAGAGGGAAAATATCAGGATGCAGTGTACAAGAAAAATTAGCAATAGCGATAAAGTGAAGGCAGGAGAGAGGCCACATTGCAACCTGAAAAACAGATAAGAATCCCAGTGGAATCCTGTGAGAATCCTAGAAAATCAAAAGAAATTCTGAGATCTCAGGTGTTATAGGGTGTCAGAAGTCAAATTATGTGTTTGTATTTTAAAAATGAATAACCCCAAAATGCTGGATATCATAAGAATTTCAATACAGGAACATCTTCATGCATGCCCGAACATCTAGCTCTAAAGTTGGAATGTTTAAATCCCATGAATATATATTGTGAAGATAATTTTAGCATATTAAATACAGAGCCAGAATTAATCAGAATACTGGGCTGAAGCCCTGGATTTTTCTAAACCTGTGACATGGGACAAGTCTCTGGGTCTCCATTTGTTTTATTATGAATACTTACTATACTAGCTTGCAATCTGCCAGCTGCTATTCTATGGGCTTTACATATTAAACTTAACTTTTACAACAACCCTATGGAAGGTTCTGTTATTATAATCCTTTTACATCTTGAAGGGAATGAGGCACAGAAATATTAAGTAACTGGCCAGAAGTCATGCAATGTTAGTACATTGTAGTGGCAGGATTTGAACTTAGGAAGTTTGGCTCCAACCAACTGGAAATAATTTCCTGCTTGTCTTTCTTTACCTCAGCAAACTTTTGCAGAGCTCCCAAGGAATGCATGGTGATATATTTTACAATGGTTAGCCCAGTTCCATCCCTGATCTCGAAGAGCACATAATTCTAAAGTAAATTCTAAAGTAAAAAGGCTTTCTAAACTCACCTTAAACATAGATAACATGTTTCTTTGGAAACATACTTAGCAATTTATAGATCTTAGTATAAAGAAAAATGATGTTATTAACACATTTATAAATATTCAGATAATTATTTTTACTCTTCCCTTAAGCATTTTGCATAATTTAAAACAAGATTTTATTTATTCCAAAATATGTAAGGCAGCTTGTATCAAAATAAATAGTTTGAAATTTAAATTTGGAGAAATGGTGGGTCAGATTATTTGGATAATTAGTTCCTACAATTCAATTTAATGGCATATGCTCCATCTATTTCCTAACATATTTAGAAATGTTTCCAACTCAATGCTATGGTTTCCATGAGGAGGGATTTTTATTTTGAGACAGCTAAACTACTATATAATATTACCAGGTCTTATAAGTGACTTTAATAAATTTCTTAGATGTTTATTAAAATGACTAGTCTGTTGGACAGCAGAGAGAGGAATGTTTCTAACTCACTGCTGTGGTTTCCATGAGGAGGGGTTTTTACTTGCTCTCCTCTTACCTCTTTCCACGGGGGCAAAGTTACCTGCTGATAAATATAGAGGGGAACTGCCAAATAGTCTAGACTCCAGTCCTGATGTTTCTTGGGAATCAGCCTTACCTGAGAGTAAGATTAAGTGTTCTAATCCATGCCTCCAGGTTAAGAGTACTGTAAGGACAGATTTCCATGTGCGGTTTCCAGCACCACTTGGGGCTGGGTGGGAAACTTTGCCAAAATCTACTCTTAAGTATTAGGGAGTTCATCTTTGTCACATTCTTCCAAACTGGGCTTTCTCACTAATAGAGCTTACATTTCAATCTCTGATCCTTTGTTCCCTCGACAGGATCATAATGTAAGCAGGGAAGGAGAAGTGCAATCCTGCCCTCCTCAAAACTGTGACACAATCTAAACTCTCCCACAGAGATGGGGCAATCAATGTGAGGACTTAGCAAAAGAATGCAGAAAGAAACACAGACCTAACAACACCTTTATTTTAGCCTAATGATACCCATTCAGACTTTTGATTTCCATAAATGTAAAATAATAAATTTCTGTTGTTATAAGCTACTAAGTTTATGGTAACTTGATAACCTTATACATACATGGATGATCACAATTTTTACAAAAGCATAGAAGGGAGAGCTCTGCTTTCATGCAGGTGAACATTGGCCTGAATTTAAGTTATTCATGAGTAGAAACTTCCTATCATTTTTAGGTATGATTTTATTGAGAGTTCTACAAATATAAGCCTCATTGTACATCATATATTGAAGGATTTAGATTCAAGTGGCAATAATGTCTGTATATATTTATGTATTTTTGAAACAGTGTCTCACTATGTTACCCAGGTTGGAATGCAGTGACAGGATCACAGCTCACTGCAGCCTTGACCTCCTGGGATCAAACAATCTTCCCATCTCAACCTCCTGAGTATTTGAGACCACAGGCATGCACCACCGCATTTGGCTCAGTTTCTTTCTTTCTTCTTTTTTTTTTTTTTTTTTTGTAGAGATAGGGTCTTGCTATCTTGCCCAGGCTGGTCTCAAACTCCTGGCCTCAATTAATCCTCCTGTCTTGGCCCCACAAAGTGCTGGGATTACAGGTGTGAGCCATCGCATCCAACCATTTATATTGGATAATTTGTGTAAATCATGTATCTTCTGGTCTTCAGTGGCACATAATGTTATGATTAAACTACAAGGACATAAAAGCAATTTGGGCACATCTTTTAAAACATGTTTAAATAAACATTATGGTTTAACAAACTTTGCCAAGAACTGTCACAAGAAGCAAGAAACGAACACTCTTTAATACCAGATGTGAAGTGATTTCTCCTAGCGTAAAGTCAAAATACATTAGTGACTCAGCCCTGTGACAGCTTGTACCCTGGAGATTATCTCTTCAAAGTGCAGAGACAGACTGAAAAAAATTAATGATATGTTTGTTTGAGAATCAACTTAAATGTCTGCATATGAAATACTGAAATAATGTTTCTTAGCAGAGTCATATTTTTTAATTTGTTAAGACAATATAGTAGGGAATACTAATTTTATTTTGAATCTTTCATTAGTATTTCCAACTTTCAGGGCACCACATACAGTTTTGACAGGAGAATAGGAGCAGAAATTCAGCCTGAGGTCCACTTACTAAACTGGGGCTGGCATGGGGATATACCTGCCCCATATGGAGGAAGGAGTGTCACCTTGTCAAGTCAGGCACTTTGCAGGACTTTATCCATCCAGAAAGGACATCTTTTCCTAGATTTCACAAAGGTTTTCTATGGACTGGTGACAGATCAGCATGTGATACAACAGACCACTATTCAAAATATAAAACCAAATATAATATCTTTGGCTAAAGTAGTATCTAAATATCATAAGTTTGCAATCATCCCTTTACATGGTTTGAAGTGGTGGTACTAATGGTGATCACATTTTGGATTTATCGATAAAGTAGAAATTTGCCTGAAATGTGTTGATAGGTATTATCTTGTTTTGCTTATATAAGTACACAGGCCAAGTTAATATGAGTAAATGTCTATCAATGTCCAAGATTTGTAACTTCTATCTTAGTATAATTATGCAATTAAAAAATGTTTCTCTATGTTCTGTACCTACTGAAAGCTATGATTTGCTACGATCCTTTCTCGGTAAGCTATGAAGGGGAAACTGAGTGAGTAGTAGTTATTTAGTACCAAGGACTTGAAGAATAAAAAATACTTCTGCATATTTAAGTGCTGACATAGATATTTTAGTGTCAGAAGAAGATGTTCATTATACATTGTTATATGAAATAAATAGATTACCAAAAATATTTTATATGACCTAATGCATAGTCTTTTGTGGGGAGGTATGGGTAATTACTCACAGATAAAATTCTAGAAGTACACAGGCCAAGATGTTACAATGTTTATCTCCATTTCAGTAATAATATATTTTTAAGTTATTCATTTGTGCAGACATATTTTCTAATGTTTCAATGATGCTAAAGTTTATTTTTTTAATTGTCAAAAAAAAAACCTTCTTTCCTTAGGGTAGTTTTTGCTACTAGGGAAGAGGAGCAAACAAGAAAATGACATATGTATATGCTATCACTCTCATTCAGATCAGCACTATTTCCCGCTAGTAATATTTCAGTGGATACCTAAGTGATCTATTAATCCAAAATCTCTGTACTAGTCAGGAATTTTCAGAGAAACAGAATCAACAGTATGTGTGTATACGAAATTTGCTCACATGATTATGGAGGCTGCGAAGTCCCAATATCTGCATTCAGCATGCTGGAGACCCATCAGAGCTGATGATGATGCAGTTCCAGCCTAAGTCCAAAGTCCTGAGAACCAGGGAAGTCAATGGTGAACATTCGAGTCCGAAAGCTGGCAGGGTAAAAACCCAAGAGCCGATGTTTTAGTTCATGTCCCAAAGCAGGAAAAGATCAAAGTCCCAGCTCAAAGCAGTCAGGCAGGGGCAGTTCCAGCTTACTCAGATTTTTTGTTCTATTCAGGCCTTCAACTGATTGGATGAGGGCCATTCATATTATGGAGGACAATCTGTGTTATTCCATCTACCAATTCAAATATTAATCTTACCCCAAAACACTTCACAGACAAATCTGTAATAATGTTTGACCAAATATCTGGGCACCCAGTCAAGTAGATACATAAAATTAATCATTGCACATGCCTTGTTTTTATACATGCTGCTGCTGTACTTATTCATTTGGTTCATATTTGACTATGTCTTTTCCCTTATTAGAAACCTTAAATCATTTGCCTTTTATGTAGACTAAAAACCAAACTCCACAATTTGGCAGAAGTACAGCAATTTGGTCCTAATCTCCCATCACCCCACACATGTACCCTACACTCAAGCTATATTGCTCAGTGCTTTTCCTCAAAAGAATAAGATTTTTTCCTTTGTCTTTTTTTCTGTAACATAGCTTTCTGAGTACTAAAGGCTATTCCTCACTTTTTCTACTAGAAAATAACTTATTCATTTTTTTGATCTAGTTCCAAATAAATGATTTTTCTTTTAAGAAATCTCAGATTATCCACTTAAATCCATCTCTCCATTGTGGTCCCATAGCTTTTGTTCACATTGCCTTTATAAGATACTATATTATGTTATACTGTATTATCAAGCATATAATTTCATTTCTTGAATTATCCTCATTGAAATATTTCAACGAGAACCATAGAACATTCACCTTTCTTTATTCAATGCATCTCATCGTGTCTTGAAAATAGTATGCCCAGAAAAAATCTCAAGAACAAAGGAGAAATAAAGACTTTATGAGAAAAATACACCTTAAGAAAACTCATTTCAAACCTATCTACAGTATGGACATGATAATGGAGGAAATAAAATTTATAATGTTTGGAAGGAAAGAAGCACATTTCACTATTCACAGATGATATAATTAGTTATGTAGAAATTTCCACAAAATCCACAAAAAGGTGTTATAACTAATAATTGAGTATAGCAAAATCACATGATACAAAGCTACTACAAATATTCAACTCCATTTTTACATAACAGCAAAGCCGATTAAAAATTTGTATTAAAAGTACCATTTACAATATCAAAACTCATTAAGTTATTAAGTATAAATCTAAAAATATGTACAGGGTCAGAATGCTAAAAATTATAAAACACTGATGAAAGAGATCAGAGAACACCTAAGTAAATGGAGTTATTTCCATTTATAATGGAATGTTATTATGTCATTTCTCCCTAAATTGATCTGAAAATATGATGCAATTTTAACTAAATCACAACAGGAATTTTTTGGAGAAATTCACATGAAATTTAAAATTCATTTGGAAAGGCAAAGAAACTAAAAAAAATTTGAAAAAGTAAAAATTTGAAGGATTAAAATGATATAATTTTAATACTAACTCTAAAGCTACAATAATCAAGACAGTGTTGCATCAATGAAAGCAGAAATATAAATCAATATAACAGAATACAGAGTGCAGAAATAAGCCCATATGCTTATGGTGAATCATTTTTGACAAAGTGCAAAGTTAATTCAATGGAGAAAAAATAATCCCTAACACACAGTATTGGAATATGAGACACTCACACACACACATACACACACACACACACACACACACACACACACACATATAACATATATATACATATACACATATACATAACATATATATACATATACACATGTACCTCAATCCAAACCTCATATCCTGTACAAAACTTAACACAAAATAGAACATACACCTAAAAGTAAAACCTTAAAAAGAAAAAAAAAATAGAAAAATTATATATTATCTAAACTAAGAACCTCTACTCTTTTAAAGACATAAGAGAATAGAAAGTAAAGCCATAGCTTGGAACACAGTATTTTCAAAACACACATTTGAACACAGAATTATAACCATAATACTTAAAGAACTATCAAAACTGTAAGAAATCAACTAAATAAACAACAGCAAAATATTTCAAACATCTGCCAAAGAAGATACATAAACAGCAAATCACACATGAATCTATGCTCGATCATTAGTTATTAGAGAAATGTAAATACAATCCTCAATAAGATTCCATTATACAGGTATTAGAATGGCAATACTAAAATTAAAAATAAAACTGGCAATACTAAGTGTTGACAGGATACAGAGCAACTGAGATGCTCATACATTGGTAGCGAGAAAACAAAACTGTACATTTCCTTTGAAAAATATTTTCACAATTATTAAACATATATTTATCAACTGATCAAGAAGTCTCAGTCCCAGGTATTTATACAAGAAAAATGAACTTTCTTATTCACAGAAAGTTTTGTGGATGAAGGTTGATAGCTTTTCTATTCACAATCACTAAACCCAAAAACAACTCAAATGTCCTACAACCAGTAAAATGTGGTTCTTCCATACCATGGAATATTAGTGAGCTGTAAAAGACATCAGAGCTCACTCTACTCAGGAAATGAAGATAATACTAAAGACCAGCTCATAGAACACATAAATTTAGCTAAGTATTTTTTCTTGGAACTTCACAAATGCATAGTTTTTGTCTTAGGTATTAGTTATTAGTTATTGCTAATAATGCCAGTATTTGCTTATATGTTGTTATATGAAAATGATGGTGTTATAAAGAAATAATTTGTGTCTACAGCTTCGTTATTGTCAAAAACTCAACTAGCTCTAAATTGTATAAAACTATGAAAGCTTGTGTTTTCATCACGAAGTCTGTATTTGTGTTTTGAATTTTCAATTTTTTAGGACTGTGTTCTGATGGCATGATTTTAATGAAAGAAAACATTCTGGAAATGTTACACAGATAAAGAAGTTTGTATCATATCAGATTGTTAATCACCAGACTGCTTCACTCATCAGAAACACTTACTATGAATGAAAAAATAAAATCAGTTGAACTAAACAGTTTATTTGGTGACATTGTAAAACTTTGATACTACATAAAAACTAATATGTACTATTCTTCCTATATTATTCTCATTATGTTTTAATATGCAAGTTCATCATAAACAACTCTTATGGCATGCTGAAATGCAGTATATATTCTAGTTTTAAAATAAGATTTATTGACAATGTTTGAATTACTGAATGCACCATTCTGCAAGAAATTTCTGTAATATAAGAAACTGATTTGATCCTAACTTAAAAATACATAAAATAAACAGCAAGTCTAATGTCTTTAGTAAATTATTTTAATACTTTCATGCCTGGAAGACAGACACACAGACACACACACACACACACACACACACACTTCAATGGGATCTTGATATTATACATCTGTGAAAAATTATCACCAGACACCTCCAAATTTAACAGAATATTTTGAATTTTATTTTCTTATCAAAGATCCACACCAGAAAAAACATGAAATCCATTCTTTCTATTAAAATATAATTGAAATAGAATTAAATTTATAAGGTTAATGATTAAAAGTAGCTATTGATGAAGAATTGAAGATAAATTTTAAAAATACAAAATCACTTGCTTTATAAAAATAGATAAAAGTGAATTCCATCAGCTTACTGTAATTATTTCAAATTCTTGTCTTCCAGTCTAGCACCATGCCTCTCTGAGACTGGCTTCTCCATTGAGTGTTATGAAATCAACACACTAACATTTAGGATCAACATTATCCCCTATGATTGGCATTGTCATTTATCCAACCTAGATTATATAAATTAACAACCAAAATGCAAATCTGTCACATTAAAAACTTCATTGACATACACATGATTGATTCAAAATGCACATATAGCAGTTTAGTATTGGGATTGCTACTTTACTTGTAACCTCTGTTTGGTCATAGTTGAGAAACAACAGAAAGTTGCAACTGTAATATTATTTTTATATAAATTACTTATATAAATGATTTTAATAAAAAAAGTGTGCATTTTTTGCAACCCTGTCTTATTGCACATTTGATCTGAGTATTGAAATAATATTTGATCTGTTAAATCTAATAATAAAATTATTCTTATTTCATTTCTCTTTTATTTCATTTTTCTAATAAGTTTATTTTTATGTTTGTTTTTAATTATATTTTACAAAAGTATTGGTCTCTGACAATTGGAAATTAAAAAGCAAAACTGTCCCTCACAACAGATGGTTTGAGAAACAGTGGTATAAAATTTATCTCATATTAAAGACAAGGAAAAAATAGGATGATTAATAGTTTTTCACAGAAAATTGAGTTATATTGTAGCTAGGTGCCCAAAGAATGTTAATAAACATCAAACTGCAAAGTACAGTAGTCTTTAATAAAGCCCTATAGTGGGTTGGCTCTTAGCCCTGTCTTGTTAAAATTTTAATTAATAACCAGGAGGAAGAGAGATAAAGGGCATGTTTTTAAGATTTGTAGACGGCAGTAAGCTAGGAGTGATAACTAACTGAACAGACACAAAATCCAGGGAAAAAGTGGTTTTGATCATCTGTCATGCTGTGTAGAAGCTCAGACAACATTTTATGGAACTCAAGCAAAAGTCTGGTACTTTACAAAACTCAGTGGTGTACTCTCAAAGAAAAGGAAAGCTTTTTGGAGTAGTTCCTTAAAAAAGAAAAATTTGGAAATTTTAATTGCATGTGCAAATACATTATGATTAGCAGAATTAGGCTCTTGAAAATTCTAACACAGAAAGACACTTTGTTTGCAAAAGACAAGTTAACATGGGTGAAGTTTCCCATTATTCTCCAGGCTCAAAAGTCAATTTCAAACTGGATTTTTATTTCTGCCTTTGTGAAGTATAAAGAATTTTTCTTCTGATCATGATCATCTCTCCATTGTTCAAATCCTAAATCAAATGACCTGAGGGCTTTTTGTGTCCTGGACCTTCAGTGGTACAATCAAGAAGAGCCATGGGATTCAAAGCGGAAGTGTCAGAGCTGGGCAAAAGGTTTTTGGCACAGATGTGAGTATTTCTCTGCAAGCCTGAAGCTCAGTGGGCAACAGGACAGGCTGACTCTGGGTATTGGCAGCTGTTCAAGCAAGAGGAGAGCGAGAGTGACAGCTCTGGGCCAAGTTGGTTTCCCCTACTCTCCCTGATGTTGGGATTGAAGTCTGTCTGTCTTTACCCCTGAGAAGCTAAGTTCCCCCCATTCTTTTCTCTGGATTTCTTTCCCTTTTCTCTTTTCCTTTTGCCTTCCCTTTTCTTTGAAGAAACAAAAAAAACTACACTAAACACTTTCCAAGTAGGTAGGCAGCAGTTTGAATCTATGTTTGAAAGGGAAGCAGGCAGCATAGAAAGCCACACAAGAAGCAGCCTTCCTTTTTCAGCTTCTCAAGTTTAACTAAAAATGTTTGAGGAGAAATTGTTTCATGACCATGTTGATATTAATCATAATAGCTTACTATTAAAATGCAGCTGTCTATATTATGGAATAGTGTATGACATTTACTTCATCTTACAATGAGGTTTTAAAGAAATTTGGAGTATGTAGTAGGCAACTCCAAGTAATGTGCCTGATGCCTCCATTTCCACATTTCTAAAATGAAAATGACAGTAATATTGCACTCCATTTTAATATCCATATTATTGGCTGTATTTGGATATGGTGGCAAAAGTGCCCTAAATTACTCCCAGTAAATTCCTCAAATTCCTGACAGTGGTTTCATGTGTTCTCCTTACTCATCCCTCACCCCCTTCCTAGCCTGCATCTTCACCTGACTGCCTCAGTGCTGCATCCGCTGCTGACCACTTTAGGGATTGCCGCTGTGCTAGGGACACTGTCTGTCGCATGCTGACCACTGAGACACCCCTGCTTCATCTTCAGGCAGAGCACACGACTACTCCACCTTTGGAACACAGGCAGGTCCCCCTTCGTTCCTCAAAGCACAACGGTACCCTGGACAGAACTTTAACAAGATTATACTGAAGGTTTGTGGGAAAAGAAAAGGAAACCAGCCTCAGTGTCTTAAAGCTGAGACCTTCCTCAGAGCCAGCTGCTTAAGGAATGTGCAGACATCTTCAGAGGTACTCCATGGCCCAACAGACCAAGGAAGTATTTTCTACAACCCTTTGAGAGGCAGGATTCGCCTTGTCCCAGGTTGATTAAAAATGGAAACAAACATTCCCTCAAGTAGAGAGCCTCAGAGTGACACAATTGCATAACAGAGAGGCCCAAGCCCCTGACACACAGCCACCAAATATTCTGACAACACTTATCTGTCACAAAGGCCAGTAAAATCCTCCGGTATGCCCTTTCCCAGAGATCTAAAGTCCACATTGCCTCTAAAGAAGAGTTGCATGAAAACAAAGAGAAGTATGTAGAAACAATGGTGTTCAAATGAAGTTTTAGGAAAAGGAGATTTTTCAATAGGAAATAATTCATAGTGTGATTATTCTGCTGAAAAAAATAAATGCTAGTCATGTTATAAAGAGAAGACAGAATCACAACTAGAAGCTTATTTTTGAGGGCTATTGTCCTTCACTTAAGTCTGTCCTCAAATGTATGCATAGGTATTTGTTCGATTTTATTTTTAAATAATATAGAAAATGAAATATTTATGAAATATCTGATATTAAATAAAACATCAATGTATGAAATACTTATAAAATATATATATACTGTTGTACTGAATGAGTTGGATCTTCAGAGTAAATTCCTAGAATTTGGACTGTAGATGAAAAGGTTAACATATATCTAGTTTTTTTGTGTGATTTTTTGTTTGTTTGTTTTTGAGATATTTCCAGATTCCCTCATTAAGGATTTTACCAGTTTGCATTCCTACTAAATATGTAAGAAAGTTATTGTTTCGACATACTCTTACAAGCAAAGTATATTAATACTCTTGTTAGCAGAGTGTATTATTATGCATCTTAATTTTTGCTATTCTGATAATATGATGGTTTTTATGTGCATCTTTTGATTATCAGAGAGGCTAAACATCTTTCCATATGCTCAAAGAGGTTTTACATATGTTTTTGGTAGATTGTCTTTGTTTTTTTAATCATTGTCATGAGCCTTATGTGACTTTTCCTCTCATGAGTTTCCTATTATTAAGGTATCAGTCCTTTATCAGTTATACAGTGGTATATATTCTTCTATTTTCCATTTGTCTCTTGACTTTGTTTTGGTGTTTTTCCCTATTCAATTACTCTCTTCTTAAAGTTTTATGCAGTCAAATGTGTCCAGATTTTCTTTTATTGGGTTTTTCTCAAATTGCAATTATGGTCTTAAGTAGCAGGCCAAATCTTAGTTCAGTTATTCTATTCTTATGTTGCCTACTAAGACTGTGTCTTCAGCATTTGTGGTCAGCCTGACAGGCAGAGTAAATGCAGATAATTTGTGCCTCTAATCCCTGGTACTCTCCTTTTCCTGTTTCCTCTTTCACTTCCCAGTGAAGATTTATTTTTTTTTAATTTTTATGTATTCTTTTTGCTTCCATGTGTGGTGCAGACAAGGGCTGGCCTCAGGCTAGAAGCGATGAAAATGAGAAAATCACTCCCGCCATTCCCTTTTACCACTGGTGGTTTACTTGCCAGTTTCTGCTAACTTTTGATCATTCCCCAGTGACTTCCGGTAGTTGTTCATTTTTGTATTTTCTCTAGAGTTTATAGCTACTATCTGTGGGAAGTTGATCTAATGGAAGCTAACTTGTCCCTTACCAGGAGTGAAACCCAAGCATGTAAATTTTGTCAAAATTAGAAAGCCTTATCCTATACTCATGTCAAGGACAAGTTTCCAAAGTAATTAGACAATTCTAACTAGAAAAGGTTTACCCTAATGCTTTCTCAAATATTCATTTTTCCAAAAATTCTTAACTTTTAGTATAAAATCAATTTATTTCATTGAGAAAAAACGAATATTTTTGCCACTTGTTGCAAAAGGTCAATCTGGTTTTAATAGTCTCTTGTATCGCTATCTGAAAAGTAAACTGCATAACTACCATGCCTTATAAAAGTGATTGTTTCAATGACCATAAGGGATATCAAAATCACCAACATCAAGTAACCAAGCTTTATCTATATGGACAATTCAAACAAAATATAATTTGATCAATAATGACCTGTGCTGAGGAACAAATGCACACATCATGAAGCCCCTGTTATTCAGTTTGAGGATTACTTTTATATTTCTATGAAAGATAAAAAATAACTAGAAAACAAGGGCAAAACTAATGATGAGAACTGGGATCCATCCTCCTCTTTTACATTAAGTGTCCCAGTTCTTTACTGATAGTGACAGTAATTTCAAGGATGCTTGTTTAACTGGAGTCTGTTTGAATGGGTATGAGTCTCTATGCTGAATGGTCTCTAAAAGCTGTGAATAGGTACATTAGCATATCAAAAACCTTCCAAAGTGTCTTTGGGAGTTTTTATTTTCTTTTATCTGCAGGTTTTCTCTGTTTGGAAGAGGTTGGTAAGAAGTGTATCTTGGGATCTGAGTTTTATTTCAAGGTTATTGAAGTATCACAGGAGTGCAGTCAAATAAAAAACTGATGAATAATATCCAGGGGGCACTGCTAGTAAGACAACCCTGTCGTTTCAAGAAACTTGAGAAATAATGATAAAGAAACATTTTTTTGAGTTTGTTACTAGTGAGAATAAATTTTGACAGAATAGACAACTTGTTTTTCTACGTCTGACTATAAATTGTAGATTTCCAATATTCCAATTCATAATGAATGCCTATCATTTTGTAGTACTAAGCTCTTATGTTCAAGAAATATCTAAACTTTAAACACAAAATTATTGTCTAAAATAAAATAATGTAATATAAAATAAATCCAAGATCATTTAAGATATTCATGTCTTTTTGTTCAATAGTGGGCTTTGGAGTAACTTTCAGGAGGTTTTCCCATACTAATTTTGTCATTAACAATGTGCCAGTAAGAAAGGTCACTTATGTTATCTAGGTATAATTTTCTGCATACCCAGACTAGTTGATGACAAAAGTTCTTTCTTCTTGTAGATTGTCTGTTATCTACTATTGTCTAATAAATTGAAAATTCCTTTGTATAAAGATATACACATTAATAAATACATACACACAAAAAAATGGAAAATCAACACACAGAGAGTGTTTCCTCATCATCCGACTTAAGAAATATTTTATCTTTGAAAACTTTTGTGGGCTTCTCAGCAAGTTGGCTTAACATGGAGCAGCTAAAATAGTTAGAAACCTGGAATCTTACTCTTTTAAAGAATGAGAAGACAGATGTCAGGACTACCACTGAAGTTACAAAATTTAAAAAGGGGGGAAAGCATAGAAAAAAGAAAACCAAATTCTGCACATAAACTCTAAGTCAATCTCTGGCACATCCAAGAATTACATGTGCATGCAACAGATTCCAAGCACTACTTATAAAGCTAAAAGATCTGAAAACATATCTCAATTGCTGTCAACAGTAGGGGACTCAGTTTGCAGTTTGTGTTTAGCCATGTTAACCTTCTAAAACAAAAGGTTAAACATCATATAAATACCATTCTAGAAGAAAGGGAGGGAAAATATGGAGCAGAAATATATTTGAAGAATTAATGGACAAAAATTTTCCCAAGTTGATGAAGGGCATAAAGTTTACAAATTTAAGAAGATCATCAATCTTAGTGTAACTGATCCTATATTATAAAAATCATAAGGTGGTTAACTTCTCTTTGTCCTTTTCTTCCTCCATGCATGATTGCTTGCCTGTAGTTATTTCAGTAGACAGTAGTCACTAATAATTGATTAACTTCATATTCTAACCACCTGGGGTTGCCTGAAAGGTTAATAAACTTGTTTTTCTTTTAAAGAACAATAATCCTTAGGTCATACAGAGCTCTTTAATGGCATCTAGAAGTTCTATCTGAGGAGGGAGGCAAACAGCTTTGATCACGGAAGGTTCTCACCTCACACACACCTTCCTTATTCATGAAATCACCCAGTTATGTTCAAAAGCAGGTCGGACTTCAGAGTTTGCCTCTCCCACTTTCACACTTCGGCCAAATCAAATAAACCTTCCTCTTCTCCTATCCACTGATGTATTATTGTTTGGCTTACTCCACACTGGATATTCAAACCCAAATTTGGGGGTTCTAACAACAGCAGAATAAATACAAAGAAAATCACACCTAGACACATCATAATCAAACCATTGATTCAAACCTTAAGAGAAAGTCTTCAAAGTAGAAATAGAAAAAGAACACTTTACGTACATGGGAGCAATAATATTAATGTCTGCTGACTTTCATCAAAAACAATAAAAACCAGAAGACCGTGTAATATTTCAAAAGTTTAGAATATTTTCAACCTAAGATTTCCATTGCCAGTGAAAATATCTTTCAGAAATTTAAAGCAAAATGAAAATATTTTCCAATGAGAGAGTGTGTCTATTAGTGTGAGAGGGAAATAATGTCTTGTCAGGAGATCTGTACTACAGAAATTTTAAAGGAAATCCTCTAGTTGAAGGAAAATTAATAATGATACACACATTGTCAGCTAGCTTGACCTAATCGAAAATTATAAAGTGCGACACATAAAAATATCAGTATATGCATTCTAAATGCTTCCTAGAGAGTGCATCTATTTGTGTGAGAGGGAAAAAATGTTTTGTCAGCAGACCTGTACTACAGAAATTTTAAAGAAAATCTCCCAGTTGAAGGAAAATTAAAAATGATATACACATTGTCACCTGGCTTGGCCTAAATGAAAATTATAAAGTGCTACACATAAAAATATCAGTATATTCATTCTTTCTAAGTGCTTGTGTACATTTATCATGGTATGGTACATTTATAGACCATATTCTGGGCATCAAAGAATGCTCAGTAATTGAAATCACAGAAAGCATCTTCTTAACCACGATAAACTAAAAAATTAATAAAAGGATAGAAGAGAAAACTCTTAAATGTTTTAAAACAACATGCAGTTGTACATATCCTATAGTTGAATAATATATCATAAGGTAGATACAAATATATATTCAATTGAATGAAATAAAAATGAGATATATAAAAATTTGTGAGGTAAAGCCAAGTCAGTACTTAAAAAAAAATTTAATGTGAAAATTCCTGTATTCGCAAAGTATGATTGCCATCAATTACCAGGAAGGATTTGGAGAAATTAGAACTCTCATACTCTGCTGGTTGAAATGTAAAATGGTATAAAAACTTTTGAAAACTGCTTTTCAGTTTCTTAAGAAGTTAAACATACATAGATGGAAATAAAACTTGCCTAGATTTTTCACTGTTTCTGTGAAAAGCCCTTGCCTCCTAGAAATATTTTCACAAACCATTAGAGATCTCAATTAGATCTGTAGCCATTTGTCTTCTTAATTGTTCTGACCAATCTGACCAATGAGATATTCAAACTTCTAGGTAAAATGGTTACAGTTGTATTAGGTTCCGGGTTAAGACTCCAAGATACAACAAAATATAATAGCAGCTACTTTCCTAGGTATTTACATATCAAAGGCGAATCAGCTCCAGGAACTTGGACACATCTCCATAAAAACTGGGTCACAAGTGGCTAGCTGGCTGTGAGACAGATTTCATATACATTCATACTGAAAGGCTGGAGTAAGGAGTCCCTTTCAGGAGGGGTGGGATACAGCTGCCTCCTCCCCCTTTATAAGTAGAGAAAAATTATTATTTTTCTTTATTCCTAGCTATGGAGCTGTCCAGCTACTTGTATAGGACAACTGGCCTACTTCTTTTTACACTGTTCGAAGGGTAAGGACAAAGGCAAAGGGAGGAGCACACTTATTACTTACAGTGACATATACGATATGATCTACCTCGAATTAACAACACCGTCATGTGCGCTTTTAGGTTAAAATTAATAAAAATGAATGTTAAAAATCCAACACACACATAACACACAACCCTGACATTCTACTCATAGGTATTTAGCCTATATGAATGAGAGAAGTAAATTTAATAGCAGAAATATACATAGAACAAAAATTGATAAAACTAAGAAACAAAGCCATCTTAGTAGATTTTAAAGCATCTCTCAGAGTTAAAGCGTTGTGTGTGTACACCCACACATGTGTTGTTGATGACTTACACAATTTAAACAATGTGACTTATTAATGGACATATAGAAAACACTATGCCCAAACATTTCAGAACGCGCTTTGTTTTCAAGGACACATAAATCATTTCCAATTATTGACCATATGCAGAACCATAAAGTGAGTTTCAAAAAATCTCCAAGTATTAAAATAACACACAATATTTTATAACAGTGCTAGCAAATAAACATAACTACTAATCCCTATGTATTTGGAAATTAAGAGTGATAAATTTAAAGCATGCATAAAAATAATAATAAAAGAGAAAATAATCTGAACAGTGAAAATATCATACATCAAAACTTACAGGATGCAGTTAAAGCATTGCTTCTCCTCAGTCACCTTTTTAAAATTCTGACTTCCCCTTAAATATTAGCATTCCCAGAATTTATACCTTATTTATAATTTGTTCCATGCTATCTATAATTGAGTGATAGCATTCCAGTACTGGTTTAACCCATCAACTACATACCAATGATTTCCTAATTCTATTTCTATTTCTGGCTGTAAAGCGCTTGGATTTTCTAATGAGGCCGATTTACTAACAACCCAGAAGCTGACTGAGAATGCACCCATTTTATTCTTCCTCTCTTTTACCTTTCTTTAATTTAGAGGTAAATGGAAGTGTAAAATGAAGAAAACAATGAGTGCCTTGTGAAATAAGTACCTTTGGAGTTTTTCTTGGTTCCTCACTATAAGACCTCAGGCAAATCTATTGGAAAGTTAAGGAAACTTTCTTGGGTTTTGAAATCCAAATCCTAAACATCATCACTTCTACTGAGCCAGATTTAAAGTAAATATCACAATGAGAAAGAATGTCCCTCTTCTGGTGAACTATTCAAGGAACTAGACATGTGGGCCTGCTTTAGCTCCTGAAGAAAACAGAGAATGTAAGAGGCTGAGAGTGGTCAGCGCTAGCCATGTGTAGGTCTGTCACAGTGTGCCCTTCTTAAAAGCATCTGAAACAGAACACTCAGAAGTAAACAGGATGTACTTGAAGAGTATTCACTCCCATCATTTTCATGGTCATTGCCATCATCCTAAATGGAAAGCTAGGATAGTAGAATAATTCTATCCAAAACATAGAATATGAAATCAAGAATGACAATAGCTGATAACCTACATTTTGATATACTACACTTTTTCATTCATAAAACCTTAAAAACAAACAGAAACAAATGACAGTGCTTTTTCTAAGTATGGTGTTAAGTGCTTATTTTTGACTTTTAGTTTGGCCAGGGGCTAGGTCTAGCTATTCTCTGGCCATGTCACTTCTCCCCTACTGTCTAAAGCAATAAACAAACAAAAGAAACACAGCTTTACTGTAACCTTAGTTTTAACATAAGTTGGTGCCTCTTGGTTTGAGACAAGAAATGTTTTGAGGGTTGAGAAAAATGAATCCTTCACCTATGGCTTGAGATGCCAAGCTGGTCACTGTGATGACCACTGATCACTGAAGGAGACCAGGACATTTTTGAAACTGAAGTGACTTTTAACCAATCCCCCCCACCTTTTTTTTCGAAAGTTGAATGTAGAGAGGCCTTGAAAGTTGGAAAGCATGATGCCAAAGCAATTTCAGTGTGTAGGAAAGAACAAGAAAACACCGAAATAAAATTATCTTTAAAGGAAATTTTAGGCTGGTAATTTAAGTTCAATAGAAGTTCCTAATGGTTTTTAAGGGGTTAGGGGTATGGGATGATGGCTGATTTCCGTGTAATATATACCTAATGTAGGCAGCTCTTCTAGATCTAGTAACAGTGATCCACTAGGTTGTCCTTTTAAAAAAACAACAAACTAAGCAAAAAGATGAACTAAAATGAACTGGCCTTTTGGCATGAGCCACCAATGTCAACTGCACAAAATGGTATAAGCGTGCAATTTTGGCCCTCACACACAATTGTCATTTGTTTAGGTAAGCAGAACCAGTCCTCTATAGTGATACTTTATACCAGTGAGAAGCAGTGAAAGTTTTGGCCACATGGGATTTTAGGTTGTTTTTCATTGTGTGTTTGGAATTAGTCCTGAAAACTTTTGATTAAATTCCAAGAAATTTTAGACTTTTTTTTTTCCTGTATGTCTTTCTCCCCCATTTATTTAGTAGCATGAGGAAGACCTTAAGTAGAAATAATTATAAAATGGAAGATAAGTAACAGCACGCATACCTGAACTGGTAAAACAGATTGTTTTAAACATATTTTATCACTTTGATTTCTCTCTTTTTAGGTTGAAAATTTTTTTTACTTAAAGATTTATAAACCCTTTTCTTTTTGTTTGTTTGTTTGAGATGGAGTTTCACTCTTGTTGCAGAGGCTGGAGTGCAGTTGCACAATCTCGGCTCACAGCAACCTCCACCTCCCGGGTTCAAGTGATTCTCTTGCCTCAGCCTCCCGAGTAGCTGGCATTACAGGCGTCCGCCACCACGCCCAGATAATTTTTTATATTTTTAGTAGAGACGGTTTCACCATGTTGGCCAGGCTGGTCTCGAACTCCTGACCTCAGGTGATCCGCCCGCCTGGCCTCCCAAAGTGCTGGGATTACAGGCATGGGCCACCGTGCCTGGCCTTATAAACCCTTTTCTATATTAAAAATATTAAATCTTCACCAGTTTATAGTACAATTGTGTTTTCTAATTTGGTGCTCTTTTTTAATGCCGTTACTATTATTGTTTTTGTTTTTTGGATACAGAGAAGATATAAAAATATGTATGTTAACATTTCAATATTTTCTTATGCGGTTCCTGGCTTTGGTCTAATGATTAGTTAGTCCTACCTCTTTTACCCTCAATATTATTCAAGCAATTATTTCCTCATAGTAATCTGAAATGTCTGTGATTACATTTATGGCATAAATCCACTGAAATATATTTTAGGGTATGTGAGAAAAATAAGATTAGCTCTTAATGTGTATGTTTCACCCATTAATTATTGAATTGGAGATACTATAAGGTACTTTAGAAAGCTATTGTTAAGAATAAACTTGAAATATATCCAAATAAATTAGCAATTAGGTCAACAGTTGTGTGAGAATATTATTGGATCTACATTTACCTTATTATTGAAAAGTAAATTATACTTTTAATCTCAATTCAGATCACTTTATCTATTAATGTAACTTTCTAAACCTAAAAGTGAAAGAACATTAAGAAAAATGCTAGTAGATATTTCTCAGAGAGGGCTTTTGTGGTGCCCCTCATATTTCTCTGTATTTTTAAAGACATTCTTCAAAACATACCTATTTTTTAATACAAAAAAAGGACTTTTCTAATTTTTCTCCTTCCACAATACTGTACTATAATGAGAGCAAAGAATATCACTTTAAAAAGTGCTGAAAATGAGCGAAAGGGTAAGATTAAAACAAAACTTTTTGCAAATGGTTGAAAAAGAACAATTCTTGTTAAAGTGGGACAGAGAGAGCACAAGTGCACAGAAACAGACCTGTGGGAGCTGTTGCAGGAGCTGTTGTTCAAGCAGAGATCTCTGAAAAAACCAGAGCTACATATGGAAAGGAAAGAACTTCACAAACAGTTGATCCTCATTATGTGCAGATTTGCATTTGTAAGTTTGACTTCTTGCTAAAAGGTATGTTCCCTCAAAAATCAATAATCACTGTCAATGGTCATTTGCAGATATATGCAGAGTGGCAAAAAATTTAAGTTACCTGGAGAGAGAGCACATTCCCAACTGAGGTTGAACAAGGTAGTGCTTTGCCTGTTTGTTTCCACTTTCATGCTATAAACAAGTGCATTCTTAAGGGCTTATTTAATGCCACGTTTTTCACACTTTTTTGTGTGATTTTTGTTGGTGAGTTTGCTGTTTAAATTGGCCCCAAAGTGTAGTGTTGCAGGGCTAATAGTGTTCCTAGACTAAAGAAGGCTATGATATGCCTTACAAAGAAAATACAAGTGTTAGATAAGCTTCATTCAGGTATGAGTTACAGTGCTGTTGGCTGTGAGTTCAATGTCAAAAACCAATCAACAATATTTATTATATAAGGTGTCCTTAAACAGAAACACTCATGAACCAAGGTTATTGACTGATAAAAATTTAGTGACCAAAGGCTTCCACCACCCTAACCCTTTATTTCCCCAGGAGCAATAGGGTATTGTTCACTAATTCAGTGTTTGCAACAATGTTATATGACATAATTACTGCAGAAAACAAGAAACAACTGTAACTGATTGTACTATTATATGCCTAATGCAGTGGATTTCCCTCCACTACATAGTGGAATCCCCTGGAGGGTGAGCATTTTAAAAATGCAGATGCTGGTTACCCATTTTACCCTCCCCCCAGGCCACGGAAATCTGAATCTGTGGAGGTCTCTGCTTTGATGTTTTTAAAATCTCAAGTAATTCCAGAAATTCTTCTTTTCTACAAATTATACCTCAAGAAAGTGGAAGTTGTTGATTAACAGGCTCTTTTCAGAAGAGAACATCATCTGGGATGTTGCTCTTCTCTCCTTCCTTCCAGCTTCCTGGAATGCAGCAATGATGATTTCAGCTCTACTAGCCTTCTTTGCTCATGAGGCAATTTTGAAAATGACAAAAACTAGTTTATTTAGTTTATCTTACCAGCTAGTACCTCAATTCCAACAATCTTGGATGCCACGATTTAAAATCCCTTTTACAGTGTTTCCTAAGCCTCATATTCTCATAGCCACTTTACCCTCTATAATCAGTCCCTTGCATGCAACCTTATCTCTTATTTTTTTTTTCTTCTGTCATCTCACTCACTCCTGGGGAAAACACAATCTGGCTAATCTAGCTTTCCATTTTTTTCTACACTTGCATGTGTGCAGCTGAACAGAGCTGGGGTAAAGCAGGTTTCTTACAGAACGTGAACAGCCATTACTTTCAAGAAGGCCATTAGAGCTGTCTAGCAATGGTACAAAATTTCCCCTCTCCATACCCTTTACTCTTTCACTCTTCTAGATGACTATTTTTATACCTCCTTTTCTCTTATCCAGCCTCCAAGACTTCTTTCCCCATCTTTTTTCTCATCTATTGATTCTGCTTTCTATTTCATTGAGAAAACAGAAGTAGTAAAAAGAGTTAAGTAGAATAATATATTCAAAATGCTGTAAACCTAGGACTGTATGTACAGCCAACTTACGTTGCAAGAATGAATGTCATAAAAAGACATTTTAGGCAAACAAAAATTGAGAAAATATTAAAGATGCACTTAAGGCAGAAAAAAATGAGCACAGAATAAAGGCTTGAGCAGTTTGATGGTACAGAAAGAAAAACATAAACATATGAATAAATATACAAATAGTGGTTGTATAAAAGAGTAATAATCACTTTTCATTTTTCTCTAATAAGCCCTGAAATAATAGAAATAGGATGCATTGCTTCTAGTAAAAGGAAGGGAGGCATTAATCATCTCAAAATAATTCAAAACAGAAGTTGAAAAGGAATATATTAATAGTTAAAAGAGGTATAGACAGAAAGTACATGCTAATTATAAATAAATCCATGAATATCAATAATCACATGGATATAAACACTCCAGATAAAAGACAATGATTCTTAGAATATCAGTAAAATCCAGCTATCTTCTATTTACAGTATGTATATTAAAAACATCAGGCCACAAAATGTTTGGTAATATCAAAATGAAAAATTACATCTCAAACTAATACTAAACAAAGTTCCAACATACTGAAGATAAAAAGTAATAACAAGAGATAAATAGTGCTGTATAAATTTAAGAATAACTCAACCATGAGTTTCACTGGAAGTCAGAAAACATTTAGAAGGGTTAATGAATAAACTACATATCAAAATGTGTGGAATATAAGCAATAGGGTTTAAAAAATAAATTAATAGCCTTAAATTAGTATAGTAAAAAATAATAATAATTTAAAAATGGGAATGAAAAAAAAATTACCTCCTGACATTGAGGAGCTGGCCTGTCACCATCAGCCAGGCCCAATATCCTCTTGTTGAACATGAACATTTCACAGAACAAAGCCACTCTGTCACCTCAGTGATCAAGACAAAAACGACACTACTCCATAATCATGTTTGAATACAGAAAAAGTATAAACATTTTCTAAACCACAAAATAGTGCACATTCATGTCTCCCGGTTAATATAAGCAATGGCTACTTTTTCATCAATTACAGCTTTAGCCTCTCTGCATTCATGTCTCCTTCTAGATAAGATTTATTCAGATACCCAATCATAGAACTACTCCCACTTCCTAAGAGCAGCTAATCCAGAGAAAAGCCACACTTCTTAAATCTCTCTCACTAAAAGAAGCAATAAATCCAGCTTACTCCTGGTGGGTTTTGGCAGGAGTCCGGCAAAAAAAAATGGATCATATATCTCATTAAAGAAGATACAAAACACACCATCGAAAGCAAATTAGAAAAAAATAAAATAGAATGAAGGAAATAGGTAAAATCAGAAGCCAAAGTTAATGCAACAGCAAATGTACATAAAATAGAAGTTAGAAACAAAGTAAAACTAAAAATTAATCTTCAAAAAGACACATTATAAAAGGGAAACTCCAATTAAGTAATAAAAGGAAATAAAGCACACATGCTCAATATTAAGGATAGAAAAAATATGTAGGGGATGAATAGAGAGGCAACAGAATCTGCATTTTGAGTAAACTTGGGTCAATAAATGTGAAAAAGAAAAGGACACAGACTGGGCAATAGAGTAAGACTCCATCTCTACAAAAATAATTAAAAAAAAAAAAAAAAAAAACTAGCCAGGTGCGGTGGTGTGCAGCAGTAGTTCCAGTTATTTGGGAGGGTGAGGTGGGAGATTGCTTGTGCCCAGGCGGTCAAGGTCACGCCATGCAATGCAGCCTATGTAACAGAATGAGACCAAAAAGACAAATTCTTAAAACCACAACTTGCCAAAACAGACTTACAAAATAACTATATGAGCTAAATAGAATAAGTCTATAAGCACAAAATACAATTTTACGCATTGTTAAAAAGCTTCCCACAAAGAAAATACAATGGTCAGACAGCTTTACAGATAGGTTCTAAGGAACATTCTAGCATTAAATCATTTCGATCTTATGCAAACTCTTCTAAAGAACATAAAACTGAAAGATTTCCAACTTATTTTATGTGACAAGTATAATGTTGACTTCAAGATTAGGCAAGTACAATATGAGAAAAGATGATTACAGGCAAATCACAATTACGATTGTTGATGTAAACATCTTAAACTAATTATTAACAAAGAAAATTCAGCAAACTATACAAATATAATGAATCATTCCCAGGCTCACTTTATCATAGCAAACCAAGTTGAATTTAATCTCAAATAAGAAAAGACTTTCACAAAATGCATTACATTAACAGATAAAGGCAAGAAACACAGGAGAATATTCATAAGATGGAGGAAAAACATTCAATAAATTTCATCATGGATTTATGATAAGATGTCACTTATCGAACTAAGAATAGAAGGGAATATCACGTCCTGATAAGGTGAACCTATGAAATACATATAATGTCCGTTTTGGAAAGTAGTGAAATGTTAGAAGCACTCCATTAACATTATAAATAGCACAATACCCATTACAGGTATTACCATATCTATTCAGTATTTCACAGAGGGTCCTAACAAATGCAGTAAGAATATTAAAAAGTTATACAATTAGAAAGAAAATATAATTCTTAGTAATTACATGTTACCAAACCATATACATAAATATCTCCAAAGAGTTTACAGGCAAATTGTTGAATTAGTAAGAAGATTTAATAAGGTCCCTGATACAATATAAATACACAAAAATAAACTGTATTTTCTGTATACTAGGAAGAGTTAGAACATATAATTAACAATAAATATAATCCAAGGTAATAACAATATATAAAGTGCTCTGACTTAAATCTACCAAAGGACTACCAAGTATTAAATAAAAGGAGATGCATACCATGCCCATGAATAGGGACTAATTAATGTAAAGATGTCAACTCTCCCAAAACTGATACAATGCATTTAAAATTAAAATGCATTGTTCTTTGTTTGTTTTGAGTAAACGTGCAAACTAATTCTAAAATGCATATGTAAGAACAAAGGCTTAAGAAAATCCAAGACAACAATGAGAAAGAAAATAAAGACTCATCTTGCCAGATTTCAAGGCTAACAATAAGACTGTAGTAATAAAGACAGTGTGGTATTGCCATTGATGTAATCAAATTTGCCAGTGGAATAGAAGAGAAAGCCCAAAGTAGCCTCCTACAAAATACGGAGACTTGATATTTGGTAGAGATGGCATTGAAGGTTAGTGGGGAAAAAAAACAAACAAAAAAAACATGATTATTCAATCTCTTTAGGACAATAGGTTATTCATACAAAATAAAAGTCAGAATAGAGACAACAATTAATATAAAGTAGATTAAATACTTATATATGAAAGACAAAATCTGTGGCAGATGGACTACAATATGACCCCCAAATTATCCCCATCTCCTGGTACTTATGCCTTTGTGTAGCCCCTTCCTTCTGAGTATGGATGGGACCTCTGACGTGCTTTCAACCATTAGAATGCAGCAACTATGATGGGTGTCACTTTCATAATTTATGCTACATTGTTGGCAGAGTTTCTCTATTGACTGTCTTCCTGGCTTTAATGAAGCAAGCTGCTATACGGAGAGGTCCACATGGAAGCTACTAAAGGTGGACCCCAGGCAACAACCAGAAAAGTACTGAAGCTTTAGGTCAAACAATCTATAAGGTACTGAATCCTGCCAACAATCATGTGAGCTTGGAAGCACATGCTTCCCCAGTTGAGTCTCAGATGAGATTGCAGCCCTAGCCAGCAACTTAATTGCAGCTTTGTGAAACACCCTAAAGCAGAGTACCCAACTAAGTCATGGTTGACTCCTGATCTACAGAAACTGTGGGATAATCAATGCATGTTGTTTCAAGCCACTAGGTTTCTGGTAATATTGTTAGGCAGCAATAAATAATTTTAAAAAATGCTTAGGAGAAAATATAGGAGAACATTTTTAGGGCCAACATCTTGGGGAAAAAATTTTAGTAAGATGCAAAAACAGTACACATAATAAAAGAAAACACTGACATGTGTGATTACTTTCAAATTAAGAACACCTGTATATCTAAAGCTATCACAAGGGTCATTATACAAAAATCAAGAACATAAGCCAAAAAGTTATTCAAAATACATATAAACAAAATAGGATTAGTATTCATAATATATAGTAAACTTTAGTGAGTCAATAAAAAATAACTGAATAGAAAAAGGGGTAAAAGAAATGACCCCAATTTCATTCCAGAAAAGAAACACACATGGCAAAAATAAAGGCTATATATGTGAGTTTGGGTGGGTGTGTGGGTTTGGATGGGTGGGTGGGTATAAGTGTACAGGTGCACACACACTTGTGTTTATAAGTTCTAAGTCATTATTAGTCAGAGAAATGTAAATGAAAACCATAAGGTGACATTCTTTTATCCCACCAGACACGGAAATATTAAAAATTCTGTAAATGTCAAGTGCAGAAGAAAATCTAGCACAGAAACTCTTCTATATTGGTGTTAATTTATACAGACAATCTGAAAAATAATTTGGCATTGTCTATAATAGTTGAGGATGTACAGATCATATTAATCCAGAACCTTTCAGCTCTAGATATATATGCTAAAAAGGAAGATTAAGTGGGTGTGGGAGTGAAGGTTCTTAGTACAAACAAACCAACAAAAAAACTAAATTCCTGCACATGTATTTTATGGAACATACTTAAGAATTTTAATAAAAAATTACTTGAATTTGCAAAAACTAGAAATATCCCTAAAATCTATCAAGCAGCTAAAAGATAAGGTATGGCATGTTCCTACAACGGCATATTCATATAATGAATCACTACCATGGTGAAAATATGTGATCTCCACCTACAAACATCACATTAGACAAAATTTTGAGCAAAAAATAAAAGCAAGTTGGATACTAATGGTACAATGTGTTACTGTGACAGTTAGTATTAGGTGTCAACCTGACTAGACTGAGGGATTCCTAGATGGCTGATGAAGCGTTGTTCCTGGGTGTGTCTGTGAGGGTGTTGGCAGAGGAGACTGGCATTTGAGGCAGTGGACTGGGAGAGGAAAACCCACCTTCAATGTGGGGGTGGACACCATCTAATAGGCTGCCAGCAAGGCTAGAAGAAAGCAGGCAGCAGAACTGGGATAGACAGGTTGCTTGCTGAGTTGGCTTGCTCTCTTTCTTTTCCTGCTGTGCCACATACTTGGCTTCCTCTCCTCCTGACCTCGGACATCAGACTCCAGGTTCTTTAGCATTTGGACTTGAACCAGCAGCATGTCAGGGGTTCTCGGGCCTTCAGTCTCAGACTGAATGCTGCACTGTTGGCTTCCCTGGTTTCGAGGCTTTTGGAATTGGACTGAGCAGTGCTACCAGCTTCTCTTTCCCCAGCTGGCAGATGACCTACTCTGGAACTTCCCCTTGTAATCCTATAAACCAATTCTCCCTAACAACCTTATCTTATTGGTTTTGTCCCTTTGGAGAACCCTGACTAATACAGTTAGTATTAAAATAAAATTTACAAACATGCAAAATCATACAGTATGTTGATGAAGATAGAGCTATATATAGTGGAGCTATAAAGAAGAACAAGGAAATGATAAACACAAAATCCAGGACAGAAGTTACCTCTGGGATGGTTGGTGGGAGCAGACAATGTGAAAATGGAAGGTCAGATGGAGGGCTTAACTACTAATATTAACTGCATATTTCTTACAGTGGTTGGTGTGTACACTCATGTCCATTTTATTACTATCTTTCATATTACATATGTTTCATAACATTTTGTAGAATGTGTGAGTATATGAATTCTAAATCTAAATCCCAGTTGTGGCCACAACAACGTATCAATACCATAGGGGAGGGCTTCCAAATTCCCAGCTAGGGTCAATGCATTTTTTTCATTGTCAACATATTAGTGCAATCTATTTTGCATATCCAAATACCTACAGTTCAACAGAGAGGGGCAATAAAGCTCGTATATAAAAGAATCAACACAATAGTGGTATATAACTGCCTAGAGACAACTAATGCAAGGATGTGGGAACAATATCCAATAATAAACAATCACACACAAGGGCTGACTCGCTATTGAGGGTATGTGCCCCACTAGCATAGTACTATGACACTCAGTCCTACTTCAGAGGTGCACACTCTCCTACTCTCCTCACTGAAAGGTGGAGTTTCTGACTGGAGCCTCTGGAATTTGCTCCTTGGTCCCAACATACAAGCCATGAAAAAGAAAGCATCCAAACCTACAAAGCACCAACCAAAAGATGAGATACTGTAGAATTTTATTGCTACCCAAAAAATATGTGTGAATAGCCTGTGAATTAACAGAAAAGTTCATTCTAGGTACTTAATAGTTTTATATTGATATAATCCTCTGTTATGTATGGTGTTAAGGTAATATATACATATACATTTATATGTAATTTGAATACACTTCCTCCAACTGGTTTCCATTTATTCTATCATAGTCAGTGGAGTAAATGTAATTTCTAAAACAAGCTGAGTTTATGTATACTTAACTGGAAAAAATTGAAATGGAAAAAATACAATAATGTAGACAATCACAAATATATGCCTATCAAATGAAGGTACGAATGCAGTTATGCTTAATGTTATGCAAATGGCACCTGTGGCCGGGCAGGGTGGCTCGTGCCTATAATCCTAGCACTTTAGGAGGATGACGGGGCAGATTACCTGAGGTCAGGAGTTTGAGACCAGTCTGGCCAATATGGCAAAACCCTGTCTCTACTAAAAATACAAAAAAATCAGCTTGATGTGGTGGTGGGTGCCTATAATCTCAGCTACTCCAGAGGCTGAGGCACAAGAATCGCTTGAACCCGGGAGGCGGAGGTTGCAGTGAGCCAATATTGTGCCACGGCACTCCAGCCTGGGTGACAGGACTCTGTCTCCAAGAAGAAAAGAAAAAAAAAAAAAGCTCTTGTGACATGGAATAAAACTGAATGACAACATCAAACTTGAATTCAGAAATGTTTGTATCTCAATAAATCTCAGAAATAAGTATACTTTGGAAAAAGACAAAATATGGCTCTGGAAATGAAGATATTGAAGGTGAAGTGAAAGGCTGAATCAAATTTGTTTACTGAAATATGAAGCTTAAAAAAGCAGTATTTCTAAATCATATTAATCATTTCTAAATAATATTGTGTAATTTTTATTTTACAAGTTTGTGCAACTCAATTAATACAGTAAGTACTAAAATAGGTGGCTGATTAGTATAGATATCTACATATCTTAACTATATATGTCAAAATTATTTGAAAATATTTTTAATATTTTCTCACTTAAAAACAGATGCATCATATTTTATATTGGTTTTTCTCTTTGGGCATATACTGTAAGAGAATAAAAGTAAATATACCTCTGCTGCCTCTCTCTCTCTCTCATAATTAAGACAAGAATATTGGAGATGGTCACAAAGAGGAAATAATTACTATAATTAATTTACATACTTTTTGAAAATCCTTGCGCCAACTCTGAGGGAGTTTACTGATAGAAAAATGAAGATTTAAAATTAAGAAACTTGCATAAGACCTCAGAACTAGTAGATACCGACTAGGGGATTTGTACTTATTTCTAATTCCAAAGATCATTATTAAATATAAACTTGTTGTGTCTATTACATTTTCAACGGCAATGTCCCCCTTCAAATTAAGGATGAAAATGGGGGAAAGGTAAAAACAAAGCTTGTGAAAAACCCACCAGTACAACCTGCTGCTTGCACAGAGAAAACCTTATGCCTCTTAAGGTAATGAAATTTTAAGTTTGTGTATGTGTATACAAGCACGCATCTTTTTATTCATGTGTTCAACAATAGGATATTTTAGATAGTTTTATAATTACCGTTAGGAAACAGTCAAAGTAACAACTGGATATGTGTACATTTCAGTTTACTTCAGTAAATCTAGAGAGATAATCAGAAGTTAGTTGGTGTACATAAGCCAACTGTAAGCATGTTGTGCTCCAGTTAGCACTGAACTAGCCAGGGTGCCCAGATTAATGTTTAAAAATAACAGTAAAAACCTTCTGTTTTGTTTATGTGGGGTTAACTTATAGTAGCTATATCCTTTGTATGAACTTATATTTTAATGTGTATCCCCTCAAAGCAATTTCATCATTTCTTGGTTGTATTGTTTTTATACATATAAATCTCCCTTCAATGTTAAGTGAAATATTGCATTAAAGCATCAAATTAAAATGGTCCATAAAGTTAAACTAACCATATTTTAAAGTTGCAAGCAATGTAAACAAATCTAGAGAAAAAGTAATCTTTTGGAACAGAGTGAAGGAATGAACATATTAAAACAAAAAAAAATCAATAAAACTTGGCATTAATTTTTCAGTATAGTACAAGGGTTTGGAGCATTATTTGCATAGTGCAATGAACAAGGTAAAAATAAACTTATTGTTCATCAAGGGGTGTCAGATTTTAATGCAAGGATTGAAAAGTTTATGTTTCTCATTTAGCAAATGAGAGAAGTGCCAGTAATAGGAGCCAAATTGACTTCCAAAAAGAGAAACAAGGAGCATTAAAGATGTTGCATGACCATGAATATTTCCCTCTTTAAACCATAAAGAATAATGTATGTATCCCGAGGTCAGAAACAGAGCAAAACACAATATATGAGAGGACACTGGCTTATCTAGGACAGTTGAAAACCTGAGACATTAGGTGAAATTCAACATCAGTGTTAATACAGTTGAAAGAAAAATTACATTCAAGAGTCAGCAATACAGAAATCGTTTAAAGAAATAGTATAAAATAGGAAGAACAATTGCCATGTACTGTGAAACAGTATCGGCTTAGATTATAATTTATCTTTCTGTCCTACCAAGTATCATCTTCCCTAATATTTCAGTCTTTTAAATAGTTGATACAATAATTAACACACCATTGTTATTGGAATGATTCTCCTTGAGTACTTTATTTGCTGTGTTCAGATTTAGGGTTTCTCCTTTCTTCCCATTTCACTCCTTTCCTCCCTCCTTTGTTTCCTTTCTTCTGTCATTATTTAGAAGACAGGGAAAAGAACAACAGAGTGTTGTTTTTCCCCTAAAACAAACTCTATTTGAATGTATTTGATCAACTGTTAGTCACAGAATTCACAGCATTCGCTTCTACTTGGTATAGCCTCCTTTATGCTGGGAAATTTGTGAAAAGTGGAAAAAGAATGTTTCTTTTTAGTTCCCTCTAAGCTGTCAGCTTCATGGAGGTAGAGCCCATGTATACTTTGTTCACCATTGCATTCCCAGGATTGAGAGCTGTGCCTGGCACTTTGGATCTGGAGGTCTCAGGGAGGGGGAGAGAAGGAAAAGAAAAGCCTGACGGAGCCTGAATCAAATACACTGAGTTGTCCATCTTACTGCCATTACTAGCAATGGTCTACACACAGGCCAGTCAGACCACACTCAGGCCTTTTTTTTTTCTCTCTCTCTCCAGGGCATTCCTTGATATTCAAATACAGAGCAAACTTGGGGTAGTTGAGTGAATGGGAATGGCAAGAGTGAGTTCCAGTGGTTTTATTCTATTTGCACTTATGGATAACCCAGAATCTCTCTTAGAAGATTGATGGGATGTGCTGTGAGAAGTATATAGTCAAAACCTAGTGGTGATCGCTACTCAAATTTACCTATCATAATTCCCCCTAGTTAATTGATATGTTAGAATGTTAGGGAAACTTACCTCTGGAAGTAGCGTTATACTCCCTTCTATTAAAAGAAAAAAAGAAAAAGAAAAAAAAAGCATCTTCAATGTGCTAACCTTGTGCATCACTTTAGTGATGTATACCTCAAGTAACTTGCAAGAAGTTTCTTCTTTTTCCTCATAACCGTGCTGTTTCAGAAATAAATAAGCCATGTCTACTATAGAACAGCTACCACTTCTTGGGGCTTTTCCTTGGGTGGTAATCACTACCTTGCATGCCCCTCCTCTCACTCTTTCTCTTCCTGATGAATTCCTAAGAGTTTCAAAGTCTCTAGAGAGATTGCCAATTCCTCACTGAGGATATTCATAGTCAATTGATTTTTATGTTCTTCCTTTATGCTAATCAGTACCTTGACAGTAGATACATTGATTGTTCCTTTTATTCAAAAGTACCCGTTGATTCAAAAGTAACAAAAGTGTGGTGAATAGGCAAATAAATAATGAATTATAAATCCATTCAAAATTCCTTCAAAAAACTTTAGAACTGAAAAAACATGTGCCTAAATCTTGGTCAAACCACTTATCAGCTGATTTGCTTTGGACAAATCACTTGACATGAGTTTCAAACATATATGTAAAATAACTACTTGATAGAGTTGTTGTGAGGATTGTAATGATACACAAAAACCTTATGATTCAATGTGCAGCACATATTAAGTGATTAATTCATGACAGATCCTTATCCAAAGTAAACCAATTATTGACAATTCAGTCAACATTTAAACAGGCAGTAAACAGCCCACATATTAATTGTCTTGATATCTTAGAATGTTAGGGAACCTTACCTCTGGAAGTAGTGTTAAATCCCTTCTATTAAAAAAAAAAAAAGCGGCGTGAACCCGGGAGGCGGAGCTTGCAGTGAGCCGAGATCCCGCCACTGCACTCCAGCCTGGGCGACAGAGCGAGACTCCGTTTCAAAAAAAAAAAAAAAAAAAAAAAAAAAAAAAAGCATCTTCAATGTGCTAACCTTGTACATCACTTTAGTGATGTATACCTCAAGTAACTTGCAAGAAGTTTCTTCTTTTAGTGATATCATGCCTGAATGAAGATCTTACTAGCAGCAGGAAGGGCAGATGTAGAATACAGATTCTTAATACAGGTACATCCTTGCCATTTAGAAAGTTGCAGTCAGGACCTGGAATTAAGTTAGGGGAACAGAGACTCGAGAGTCAGGGGTTGGGGGAGGTGGAGAAGGACCAAGTTCAGTTGCTAAAATTCTGGGTTTGGGGATCGGTATTCAACTTGTCCTGCATTTTCCAACTGCTGGTTCCTCAGCTCCATACAAAATCTTAATAGCATTACTCAAAGACCTAGGGAAAAGGGGTAAGATAAAATTATCCCAATCATAGACAAGTTGCTTTTAGCTTTTTATTTTTGTATTAACAGGAGTCTTATTACACATAGGTCTGATAAAACTGGTTTATGATCTTCAGTCTGTTTCCAGTGCTGCATAACTAGATAACGTATGAAGGAAAAACGACGACGAACAAAAAATTAATTGCTTGGAAGACTTAGTTGAATCTATCCATGAAAACAGAATCAATTAAACATGTATGTGTTACTTAGACTAAATATAAATAACCCATATAAATGGTAGCTCAAACATCTCAAGTGTTTCAGAGAATGTTAGAATCTATTGTTTGAAGTGTCTATTGTACTCTATGCAAAAATCCAAAGTCATTTGCGTCTTTAAAAATGATATGGATAATTTTTCTTCCGAAATGAAGTGAAATCATGATTAATCAGATATATCAGACAATTTGGTCAACATTTAAATAAGCAGCTAATAGCCCACATATTAAGTGTCTTGATATCTTAGAATGTCAGGTACCCTTGCCAGGTGTGGTGGCTCATGCCTGTAATCCCAGCATTTTGGGAGGCCCAGGTGGGCAGATCACCAGGTCAAGAGATTGAGACCAGCCTGACCAATGTGGTGAAACGCTGTCACTACTAAAAATACAAAAATGAGCCAAGCATGGTGGCGTGCACCTGTAATCCCAGCTATTCAGGAGGCTGACGTAGGAGAATCACTTGAACCCGGTAGGCGGAGGTTGCAGTGAGCCGAGATCAGACCACTGCACTCCAGCCTGGGCAACAAAGTGAGACTCCATCCCAAAAAAAAAAAAAAAAAAAAAAAAAAGAATGTTAGGTATCCTTACCTTTGGAAGTGGTGTTATACTGCATTCTATTTATGCTTTTTCCTAAATCAACAAATGAAAACGTTTCTATTTCTGATCAAAGTTAATCAAGCCAAACAAAGCAATTCAAAAATTATCATTAATATTTACTCACTTAAAATTGTGATATACTTTGTATACCAAGAATGCCAAAGATACTTGGTGATGTACAGAAATCGTTGCTGAACAATTATGCCAACCAAAAGTAAGTGGTGGAGGAGGTTCTTCTTTGAATACATTTGCAGAGGGCAATGTAGCAAGACCTGGGAATTTTGATACAAGGAAGGATTGTCCCATTCTTGTCAGGCATTTATTAGTTATTCTCTATGTAAAAGGACAATCAAATGTCTAATATTTTGGTGTCCACACCTAAACGTACATATTGTTGTGTCATCACTTTGTTAAAATTTAAATTTTAAATTAAATTCTACAAACTAAATCTATGCAGATTTAGCTTCTTTCTCCTGAGCAGATTTTCCTATTTCCTCTGAGTTTTCATTAAATTCAACTCTGAATATGGCCTTTTTATTTCATCTTGAGTAAATCTATGTTGTTTGAAAATTTAAAAAGCCAATTATCATTATATTTGTTACTTCACTTTTGTCAGCAAAATTAATAAGTCCTTTCAAAATTTTAAAATTTCAATCCTATTATTATAATAAAAGCAATTATCTCAATTAGGCCTATGTTTGGGGAAGTTAATGTAGAAAAAGACGGATTTTACAGATAAGAAATTTTGTAAGTGTTTCTTTCAGAAGTATCAGATAGTGATAATCCCTCTTTTAATTATTTCAAAGAACAAAAATAAGAGTAGAAGCTATTTAAAATTTTCCTAGATCACCCTAAGGGTGCAGGACCTGGGAACATGCTGGGAGAGTCAATCCCCTTAGGAATTCTGTTTCTAAGGCAGGGGTCTCAGGCACCATCACATGCATACATACCCAATGGATGTGTCACCCGCTCACCCATACATAACATTCCTTACAGAACAATCTGTGAGTGGACGCTTTCTCCAGCAAACTTTCTATTTTAGAATAACTAAATAGTAGGGTTCATGTCTAAAATTTTCCCTTGGGGTGGGAGTAGGTGAGTACAGAAACAAGTAAATACAACTCTGCATTGCCATGTGGGGGTGAAAGCTGGGATACATTGTAAAGATCATTTTCGTAAGCCTGTACCTTTCTTTTGCTATCAATGACGTGTTCCCATATTCATTCTCAGTGTAACTCATTTTCTTTTTCATTTTCTGTAACTCTTCTTTCCCTATTACTCCACATACTCCATCTGGCCTTCTCCTGCCAACAGGTACATTTCTTTTTTTCTTTTTTTTTTTTTTTTGAGGCGGAGTCTCGCTCTGTCGCCCAGGCTGGAGTGCAGTGGCGCATCTCCACTCACTGCAAGCTCTGCCTCCCAGGTTCATGCCATTCTCCTGCCTCAGCCTCCCGTGTAGCTGGGACTACAGGTGCCCGCCACCACGCCCGGCTAATTTTTTGTACTTTTTTTTTTAGTAGAGACGGGGTTTCACCGTGTTAGCCAGGATGGTCTTGATCTCCTGACCTCGTGATCCACCCGCCTCGGCCTCCCGAAGTGCTGGGATTACAGGCGTGAGCCACTGCACCCGGCCGCCAACAGGTACATTTCTGTATTGTCTGTACAATGTTAAAATAAAGGGAACAGTAGTTTCTGCTTTCTTGCTTGCTACCTGCATGCAATTGTAATTCCTACCTTGATCAGATCTAATACTACTGACAATCCAGACTTTTTATATGTGATCTGATTCACGATCACATATCCTAGGAATTGAAAGTAAACACTGAGATTCTGCCCAATAATGGAAATAGTGTTATCAACCATGTAGCATGCAATATTCATGTAGATATTATCCAAGTAGCATTTTATATGCTTGCCGGTAACTCTGAGATAGAATGAATAATCTTTCTTGAGATTACTAGTGTAGATTCAGGTCTTCAGTGCCCTCTCAACCTACATTCACATGAATTTCATTCATTTTGAAATTACAGAGGGACAATCATGAGAGATATGGGAAGGAATATGTTGGGGAGGGGGGGCAGTCTCCACTCACACTATAATGGAAGAAAAATGACAGCCAAGTTAGGTTTAGCTGGAATCTAACATATACAGAGCTTTATCACTCTGGAGGCACATTTTGACATAATAATAACTACTGAGAAAGAACCACTTTTATCTAGGTCAGAATGACAGACTTCCAAGTGTTAGAGAGCTTGGGGGAACCACAGTTTGAAACATCAGGAAGAAGACTGCAATCTGTACAGAGATTTTCATCAAGTCTCCACACTGCCTTATGTTTTCATCCAATACATTGTAATTACTCCACTGGCTTATAATGGCGTAGCATTTTGATTTCAGAGCCTACCAAAATAAAATAAACCACACTTTATGACGACTACATTTATAATAAGATGCAGATGGTAAAGGAAACAGATGCCTCTGACATCATCTCCCATTTGCTTTCAACTTTTGCAGACACTGGCAGTCTGTAAACTCATTCAAAGGGATGCAAGATAAGTCAGGCAGTTTTCCAATTCTGTTTCCAGTTTAAAAAGACACTGCAGTGGCACTACTTTGAGTCACAGAGTGTTAATTCCAGAAAAATAAATTTGATTCTAAGTCTGTGTCAGTCTTTAACGCAAAATTAATCAACTGGGGGGAAAATGCCCCACAATATTGAGAGTTCAGCGATTAGTAACTACTGATTGTTTTGCTTGACAGTGACAGAAAGGATAGGATGGGAGTGATGTGATGGCGAACAGCTGTAGCTCCAGGGAGGATAAAAAGTGAAAGGAGAGTTTTAAACAGACAATCATGTCTAAAATAATCTACCAGCCCTTGCCACCCAGATTGTTCAAAGACTTATTCCTTATATTTCTAAGTAAAAAACTTCAAGGAGGCTTTTAAAGTCAGTTTCCGACCTCAAAAAAACATATTCATTCTGTATTTCCATCTGTATTTCCCAGAAGAAATCCTATAGTTCTGATAGGAGCTTTCACCATTTCCTCAGTGATATCACTGAACATTAAACACAGTAAAAGAAATTTTCTTTTTCTTTGTGCAAGATAAGTGTGTCAGAAGACCTTTTCAAAAGGATAAGGAACTTTTGTAGTCCATCTTGAAAGCAAGAGATGCGTGGGTAAAGCAGCAATTGCAAGGCCTTTAGCAGTGTTTGAGGTCTCTAGATAGATTAGCACAGTTACAGATGAAGGGGAGTTAGACAAAAACTTAAAATTTTCCCATCTCCCCTGACCCCATGATATAACTTCATCTACCACTCTGTAGCAGAAACTTTTTAGCAGACAAAATTTTCAGAAACAAAGGCAAGGGAGGTGATGACATAAAAATAAATCCTGCTAGGCCAAATATGGTGCCATTTTTTAAAACAATCTCTCTGTGCAAACAACACTGAACACATACACGCGTGCACACACACACACACACTAAAGAATAAACAAACTCTTCTGATTCATATCCACAAAGTGGGTTGGTAAGTATTATTAGTGCAAATTTCTGCTGACCTGCAGCATTTAGTCCATAAACTTTGGATATCCTAGGCGATCCATCAGAGTCCAGCAGATGTTTTCAATTAGTTTAATTTCATCTCTAGGCAAGTTCTGTTTCCAAACATTAGTATTAGTTGGTGATATTTCCCCTTCATAGGGAAGGTAAAAAAGGTTTGTAGAGGTGGCAAACAATATTTGGTTTAAACTAGCAGGAGACAAAGGAATTCCAAGAAAGGCAAAAATCCTTTCAGTAGTTTTCTGAGGAAAATGCACAATATCTTCAAACTTGACCAGCTGGTAGCTAGTAGGCAGCAAATCTGTATTTATTCTCAAGGCTGCTGCTGTATTTGCTAGCCACAAGTGAGACAAGAGGGACACTGCATTTGATTTGGATTTTGATAATTCTTTCCTCAATGGTTCATACTCGAAAGCATAACCCGAATTTAAGTTACATTTGCCTTTACCTCCCTCTATTTTAAACAATTTTGCTAAATGCTCTGGTACATTCTTCAAAGAATAAAGACTTGGTTTACTATTGTACAACATTGAATAAATCCATGCCCGAGGGTCTCTTACTATGTACAATGCCCTCATCGAAGCTCCTAAAACTTCCTGAAAAAAATGAAGCTTTAACGTCCAGCTTCCACTGCTTAAACTGAGCACAGGACGTGCACTTGGATAGTAAACCAGGTGTCTCCTCAAAGCCCTAATATATTCAGCATCTCTATCAAAGGCGCCTTTCATTTGACTTCTTTGTTCTGGCAAAGACTCTCTCCTTTTAAATTTTCTTTTTTTGTCCTTATTCATTGCAAAATATTGGGCCAGTTTACCCCTATTGGGTTCATGCAGATGGATGTTTTGCAAATGTAATTTTGTGTCCTGGACTAAAGACTGCAACCAGCCTCGGAGTAAACGAAAATGCCCACTGCGGATATCTGACACCTTCCATTCACAAGCATCTACAAATGAGTCGATTTCCAACTCAGTTTCAGGAATATCAATGTAGGCTGTAGGAACCCTGATGTAGAGAAAATCACTACTGTTGAAAAAAAGTTGTTTGAGAATTTCAGCTCCTGAACCAGGAAGTGAGGTAATGACAACATCAGGAAGATCCATGTGGTGCCCTTCAGAAGACAAAGACTTCTTGCTTCCCTCAGCCTCTGTCCTTGTCCATTTTGCACAAATGGGCTGACTACAAGTGCTCCACACATCCAAAAGCTCAATAAACCACAAGGCAATAACAAGTATTAATATCCATCGCATTAGTTTTCTAAAAGAAAGGTAAAAACGCCATTGGAAAGTTAAAATCACCAAGCTAATGCACAAAATTAATCCAACTGCTATATTAAATTTAAATCCAAAGGGGAAAATAATCCTATCATGTCTTACAGGCTTTACTATTGCTTGAGTGCCCAAACCAAATCGGGTTATTTGGCCTTGATCAGCCACACTGGCAAAGCCACCGAATCCCAGATAATTGAATCTTGTCTTCAGGTTATGGTAATCAGTTACAATAGAAACAACATGTTCAGTATTATTGACATTGAGAGAAATCTGAAGTCCAGGATTGGAACTATCAATAAATCTGCAGCTGGAGACATTGATATATGGCCCATAAAAGACATATGCAATTCTTGTGATTGTGGGTTCCATCTGAAAAGTAACATTAACAAATTGAGTCCATCGTTTTTTAAATTCAGCAGCTTGCTCTGCTTCCTGTATACTGGCCATGGGACTATTGCCATGATGATCAAACCAAAACATTTTGTAATGTGCATCCCACACATCCATCATGGCACCATTATACCTATTCATAAACTTATATGGGATATATTTAAAATCAATATCCAAATTATGAAAGAAGGCACTGACAGAATTTATTGGGGAATCTTCTTGCCTCTCAATATGATCAACAACTAGCAGAGTTTGGGAATTTAAGAGAAGCAAAGCACGATATACACTTTTCAGTCTCATTGCTGAAGAATAAGCAGACACGGCTTCCCCACTCACAAATACCATTTCCCCATGTTGAGAGGCAGTGATTATTTCCCCAGCTGCATCACCAACCTCCTCGCCAGTCCACTTAAGCCACTGCGCACATTCTCCCAGTTGACCTTCCCAGGGCTTATTACACTGGCTTGAGGGTGATGGAGCAAACACCAATACATTGTTAAGGTGGCTCAACTTGGGTCCATAGAGAGCTTCAGAAACAAATACTTGTCCATTGGGGGCAAAAGTAAATGAGTTCTGATCTGGATGCTCATGTCCTGGGTTAAAACTTCTCCACCCATCAATCCAGGAATATGGCTGAAAATGAACTATGTCATACACAGCTCGTCCCCCCAGCTTCCCAGATTTAAAAGACACAAAGGTGTTGGTCTGTGTGTTTGGCAACCCAGCCCCATAAGTAACCACACCCCAGTTAGGGAATGTGTGTATTTTTGCAGTACCATAATCAGCAGGTGGCTGTGGTGTGAGCTGGGGATCATACCAGATGTATTCAGTGTGAAGAGTACTCCACCTTTGGGCAGTTGAAGGAACCATCGGTCCATCTTTAGGTCGGTGCTTTCTAATTTGCTGAGCTAACCAATTTCCAGCTCCATTCTTTAAGATGAACTTATCCAAGAAAACTAGCTGGCTTTCTGGACCATAAAACCAATTATAATTGGAATCTGCTATACCCACAGTTCTTTGGAAGCCAGGTAAAAGGGTGGCATAATAGAACCAAAAGTGCATCTTTAACCAGTTATTATCCAAGTTGTTGATATTAAAATGGCGCTGGGCCAGAAAAACATACTGTGTGACGGATTTAGCTGTGTAGCTTCCATAGGCCACACCTTCATCCAAAGAACCATCAACAATATGATTCAATAGAAACATTGTCTTTTCCATGACATCCACTACAGCCTGTTTCCATATATTTGCTTTAGATCCTTTATCTACTCCAGTCACCAAGGCCCCTGTGAGTAATGCTATCATATTAGTGGCTTGGTGGTTATGGAGAAGCTGTTTGCCCCATGAGCGGACCTTGGAATACTCGTACATTTCCTCAGTAATAACCCATATTTTTTCCAGGTATTTTTGTCTTCGATGATTATCTAATAAGTTATATAAAAAGTCAAAGGCAGTGGCAAAACCTGTTAAGGAATGGCCAATTGGAACCTCATCTCCTGGTGCATTCTCTACTAGCCAGTCTTTGTAGCCAACCATCCTGTCCATATATTCCAAGACAAATTCAAAGGCAACTTTGTCTTCTGGGCATAACAAACAGTACAATGCTAAAGGAGGCAGATTGTTACCATAAATTTCATTCCACTTGGCAGCAAAATCAGCATGCTTTGGTGGAGGTAGGTAGTATGTTGGGTTGGACAGCATAACTGTCACTGCACTTCTGATAGCTCTAAAAAGATGCAAATGGCTTGCACGAGACTTTTGTCTCATTGCTTGGATTTCTCCAGCATCAAAATATAAACTTGGATGAAGCATACTTTTCTTCAGCTTTTGGTTGGGTCTGAAATCTTGCACTTTCTGTGTTTTAAACTGATCTATATCATCTGTGAAAACTGCCCATTCGGAATAATTGCTCACAGATTCCTCAAAAGTAGAGAAAGCAAACATCAATAATGCTAAGAATAGTAAATGTCCTGTAAACATTAACGCCATGATCCATGGGGGAGCTCCTCCCTTAGGCATACATGTCAGATATGATGCTCAATGTGTTTCCCATCTGGTTAGTATAAAACATACAGTAAAGGCCTTGATAAGACAAAGACTGTAAATCTGATATGCTGTGAAATCCAGCTGACATTCAGTACATTTTAAGCAAGTGCAGTTGCCAAAAAGAGAAAACTTAAATTGTATATCTCTGTCCCTGGCACAGTTTTGCTTCCAGTAAAACTTTGAATAACGTTAAAATCTCTAATTTTTCCATAATACACAGGGAAGTGATACAGGTAAAAAACACTATGAATTTAGCATTTACCTCCTTTACTTAAATCTATTTAACACAAAGAGTTGGAACACACATTGTAAAAAAAGAGAAAAAGCACTCCAAAATTCAAATTAAGAGTCATTTCTAGCACAGAAAACCATCACTGGTGATAAGCTCACCACACATGTATGATGCATTTGTGTATGTTTGCCCAAAGAAGATGATGAAGTACTGACATTCTTCGAGTGAGTGGACTCAGTTGTCATTCCTCTCAACTTTTTATACTTCTTGTCTTGTGAATACGTTTTTCTTTCATTTATGAGAGAGAAACATCCTCAACAAGTGATCAAAGTCTTAGTTGGTTTTTAAAAATTCAAAATTCTTGCCTTCATTTCAAATATTTTTCAGGCTTACTTACTCATCAGCCTATTATGACAAAGAGAAATCATGTTCACATCTTCTTTTATCAGCTTCATGTGTACAAACATAAAAATGGAATATCTTCAGTCACCTAGATACTTCTCGTCCGATCATGAAGTAACCGCCAACGGGGAAAGAAAATTCCCCTTTCAGCAACAGTGAGGTCTCTCTTCTGCTCTTTTTTCATGACACTTTTCTGGGGATGGGGGACAAAATAAAAATTCTCTGAGGCTTCAGGTATGCTGAGAATGAATATAAACTGATGACTTAAACATTCTGCAATCACTTAATAGAAATTTTAGAATCACAGTAAAATCTCATATTATCTGCAACCTAAGCTAGGGCAAGTGATTTTTTTCTTATCCATTTACACGCACTTATTTGGAAACCAGTGACCGTCAGCAGAAGACAAGCAACTAACAATACAAAATATACAAGATAGAACTCTCCCGACAATATCTATAGTTTAACGCCACTAACGTGGCTTCAGTCACTTAAAAAATGTTTGTATTCAAATGCAGTTTACACAAAGATGAGTCCTGCTATCCTTGTTATTTCTTGTTCCCAAGGACCGAGGGACAAAAAACTGAAAGTTGAAAAGATCTTTTTTTTTTTTTTTTTTTTTAATTCCGGGGGAAGGTTTAGAGTTCATGGGATCAGAAGGTATCTTCCTAATGAGAACTACTCGGACCAGTCACTTTTCTCGGCGGGGTAACCGCGAATCGTGACCAGGCGCCAAGCCGAGGGGCGGGAGCTCCGCGCTCGGCGCTCACCTGTGGCCGAGTCCCTGTCCTCAGGTGGAGCCGCCAGAGGGAGCTCGGACCCCGGTGTCGAAAGACGCCTCTCCGTGCCCGTCCGCGGCTGGAAGAACCTAAGCAAGTTTCAGTCTTGGACAAGTCTCCCCTCTGTAGGAAACATTCAGGCTAGGAGTTTCCTGATCCGCCCCGCCTGTTGCATTTTTTCACTGGCGTCCTCCGACCCTGCCGCCCCCATTCTCCGCTCCCCGCTCTGGGGCTGAGTGAGGCAGGATGGCGAGAGACCCCTGAGCCACCAAGTCCGCTTACCTCAGGCAGATCCCGACGGGGGCTCGGCGCCGCACTGGGCCCCAAGGGAGACGGAGGTGGAGAGTTCCAGAAAACTGCTCTGCACGGCGGGCCAGGCTCCCGCGGGGCTCCGCAAGACCCCCGCGTCGTCTCCCGCGCTACGGCAGGCGCTGCCCCAGCTCGGTCTCCTCAGCCGCGCTCGGTCCCCGCGACCCGCACGGCCCGGACACGCCCGCCCTCAGGAAACGCCGGACGCTTGTGGGGGCAACCACGGACCGCAGGACAGAGACCCGCGGGCGGCGGGTTCTCTCGGTGGCGCCGTATCCAGAGCAGCGCCCGCGTGCCCAGGCGGTGATGTCGCCGCGGCCGAGGATCCTCTGTGCCAGCTCCGGCCGCGCAGCCCGGGGAGGGTGAGACGGCGACGCGGGCCGGCAAGCGGGGGCGGGGCGGAGGCAGGACGGGGCGGGGTTGAAGGCGGGGCTGAAGGCGGGGCCTCAGGGAAGGCGAGAGACAGCGACGCTGGCTGGCGGGCGTGGGGCGGGACGGAGACAGGACAGGGCGGGGTCAGAGGCGGGGCTTCGGGGAGGACGGGAGGAGCCGTGAGCAGGCCGGCGGCGGGCGGGGCGGGGCCGAAAGCAGGTGAGGCGGGGCCAAGCGCCCCGGGTTTCTAAGCGGAGGAAGCTCTAGGCGTTTGTGTTCTGGGCTTGCAGCGGTGGCCGCGCGCTCCCGGAGGAGTCGAGCTGGAGGAGGGGACAGTTTGGGAGTGCGAGAGTCTAAAGACGCTGCCAGGCTGGCGTTAAAACCTTTTGGTTATGGGAAGACGACAACTATATAATAGAGCCATAGTGGGGGCTGTGGGATTGACTCAAATGATGGGAGGAGCTGGAGTGGGAGGGGATAAGCCCTGGGACGACAGAAATCATCCTTTTGGAAAGAGCAAGGGCTGGGGAAGGAGGGAATGAGCACTCCCTTGGAACTGAGAGGCAGCCTGGCTGAGCTTGCTGTCCTTTGGAAAAGCAAAACCGAAATACCCAGATTAATATAGGAGGACAACTTCTGTAGCCCAGATGCTAACAAAGATCAAGGGAAAACAGAAAAGACTAATCAGCTTTACTGATGGAAAACAATTTCTCAGGCAGTATAAATAGGGGAAGCATGGGACAAACAAGTAGAAGGAGCCTCTTATTTAAAAATGGGACCTGGTATTCGGTAAAGACCTACATGCAGACAGGAGAAGGCAGTGTGCCCCGGCTACTACGACATGTGAGTGCAGTGCCAGGTCGTGGAAATCCTAGAGCAGGCTGGGACTCCTGTTGCACTCCACACATGGAGCTTCTCACAGATAGCTGAGATGACACTTTGGCATAAACCAACCCAAGCTCTGACCTCAAATGTAAAAAATAATAGCTTAGTAGTAATAAAAATACAGGGAAATATCAAGCTTCACAAATGAACAATTCCATTCTCAGTTGGGGATTAGTAACACATTCAGTCTCTTCATTTCCCATACTATTTTGGTAATATTTAATAAGATATATTTTAACATTTTAAAAATAAATGTCTTGCTTAGATCATTTGCTGCTGAAAATCAAACAGTAGACGACTGCTAGCAGAATAAATTTCAAATCATTTAACTTTGAGGTGAAATGTGGCCTCTAACTCCTCATCACTCTTCTGTTTTGGCCCCGTAGTAACCCCTAGCCCAGTCCAAATAGCCACACTTGCTTTTGCTTGGGTGCTTCAGTAACTATGCTTATTCCATTCTTTCCCTCACAGTGTCCTTTACCCAACCACCCCACTTACTAGTTAAAATTCTTCTGACTGTTGAAATTATCTGATCATCCAGGTCTCAACTCAGATGCTTACATTCTTCTGTAAATAACTCCTAAGTTTCCCTAGCCAGAATGTATTACTCCAGAACTATATCATTTGTACCTATATTCGGCCGTTTAGGTTGTTTATTTTCTGCTTTCTATTTCAACTGGTTGACTCCTGTACCCTATTCAAAACTCCTTCAAGTCATGAGTAGCACTCAAGTCCCCTTTGTAAGTACTATATCTGCTTTTGAAATGAGTTGAACCTCGAACAATTGGGCTGATACAGAGCCTCGTCTCCTCCACTGAGGTTTATTCCCAAACAAGGATCCTCTTCTGACACAACTTCCTGTAAAATCTGGATTGTGCCTCTACATGGCCCCTGATAGAGGAAGAGGACCCATGGCCTCCAACCACATTTATGAGAGAGTAGAGTTGGGGGAAACGGGGAGCTGACTCCAGAGATTCCTATCTGTTTGCAGAGGGGAGCCTAGAATTTAGGGTTAGTAAACACAGCTACTAGATGTACAGAACATTTCTCAGAACAAAGTGTGGGGCAGGGTTATTTCTATGGATTCAAAGTGTCTCATGATGCGAGGGCAAGGTGAGTCAGAGAGAATTAATGCGCGAACATCTGCCAGGCAAATATTCTTCCAATGTTGTTTTCAGATTTTGAAATATCAGTATGATCATTTTCACTTTAGAGAAGAATGAATTCAGGTACCGACATTGTGGCCTTTCAGCTCTGCCCCATGCATCTGTGCTGAAGCAGTGGGGATGCAGCTAGCCTCCCAGCATTCTCAGATGGGCTTTCAGACTAATTCATTTTGAACAGACATCTTTGCATAGTGGTAAAATGTGAATGCATTAAAATAAAACAAGAGCCACAACTGAACAATTCAAATCATTGGCAGAAAGGGTGGTAGGTAAATGGCACTGTCAAAAATGAAGAGAGTCTTGTTTTCTGTGAACTAAAAATGGATAGCTCCAATTATTGCTCCTTCCACACATGAAGATGGTACAAAGTTAGTTAATTATAAATAATGCATCCGACCATAGAAGGGATGAGCTATATGCTATGTTATTGTACATTAAAAACCTTTATGAGTGTGGCAAGAGACACATGTACCAACAGCTGCTAAATTCAGAATCCTGGAGCAGTATCTTATTTTAATGTAAGTGAAGAACAGTGCAGTCTATTGCTCTGGGGATTTCTCTCTATATAAAAGGATCTTAAATCTACATGAGATTTTACTCCGTGATTTCAAAGTACTTATGAAAATCTGTTTTCTTTATTTGCCTATCTTTCAACCTACCCACAACCACCTATCTTACAACAGAAACAATGCTTTCTAGAGTAGATTCTCCAGAACAGAAGCCTTTCTCGCGCTCCTTTCCTTCCTTTCTTCCTTCCTCTCTCTCTCTTTTATTTTTCTTTTAAAATTTTATTTCTCAACATCTATCCCAGAGCCTGGCACTTTTTGAAAAATGTTTGGTGAATGTTTAACATGAATTATCGCCCCCATTTTATGACAGAAGAGAAAAAGTCATAAAGGTCTAAAGTGGGTTACTACATTCTAAGCAGAGTCACACACTCTTTCTCCTGACTGTGCTGAGAAGCCTCTTACCACACAACCCATAATTGGAGCTATGCCTTGAGGTGACTTAATTCAAGTGAAACATGAGACTGGAAAGTCATACAACATTTTCAAGAGGATTTCTGCATTAATTGTATATGTTAAGATAGGCAAATTCAAGCTCTGAGCCTGAGAACGATAAAGTACAAGCCATAAAACAAGCCTAGACACTACATAAAGTCCCTGATCTAAAATCACATTTGTCCATGATCTGTTATTCTGGTGGTTTTTAAATAAATGGGGCCAAGACATTCAAGAACTAGTTGCTGTGCATTCAGCAACTCCTATGCACAGGTCTCCAATACCTGGGCTTTCAAGCAGCATAGCCATTTGAATATGGAGACGGCTTTGTTATTCTTCTCATAGCATAATCCACCTTTGCTACAGCTTTGGCCGTGAAAGCTCAGATGCAGATTTCTCGAACCACTTACCAGGGCCAGATGTATATTATATTGATCCACTAGCAGTATTAGAACTAGTGTCTGCCCCAGAGGTTAGGGATATAGCATCTGTAACTGTTTAGAAACAGACACCAAACTTAAGCTGCAAATTTTATTGCCCAGTTGGCCAGCAGTAATAGGCCACACCAATAATAAAGACAAAACCACAAGTTTAAAGCAGGCAGTAGAGTCTGGAAATACTTTTTTTTTTTCCGCAATTGCTTTGAATACAAAACATCTCAAAATGACAGGGATTTTGCCTGCAGAGTTGCTAATGAAGATGTGGCTAAGAGTGTTTCTTGAGTTTGTTTATCCAGCTGCACAAGAGTCAGTATGACAGTAAGTAGATTTATTAAAACTTAAAAATACCAAAGCCAAATTCTGGGGGAAAAAGTTTCCCCATAAGTCTACTAAAGCCTTGAATTCATAAATGAGAAGCTTTATTGCTACCATATTTGCTTACATACAGTTTAGCTTTTGATATGAAAGAAAAATTTAAACAAAGTAAAACTTGCAAAGGGATCATAAGATGTTTTCTCCAGGGCTCTTCCACCCTCCCTTTCCCCTGGCCTGGTATCCTTACACCAGTGTTTCTCAACAGGACATTTGGCAATGTCTGGAGAAATTTCAATGTTGGTCTCGGTTAGTGGGAGGGACTGCTGGAATCTAGTGAATAGAGGTCAGGATGCTACTAAATAGCCTGCAATGAACAGGACAACTTCTCCTCTCCTCCTGCCTCACAAGTCAAAGAATTATGCAGACTAGAAAGTCAGTACTGCTGAGAATGAGAAACTCTGACCCATCCCACTGACTCTAAAAATTGATTATGTGCTAATTGTTGGTAGTTCAAATCAATTCCTAAATTGTCCCCCTGACTTGCCAATTACCTATTTGCAGTTTGTTCTAGAGCCAGCCGTTATGGCTAAAATGTATGTGTCCCTCCAAAATTTACATGTTGGAACCAAATTGGTAGTATTAAGAGGTGGAGCCGTTTGGGAAGTCCTCTTCTCATGAATGACATTAGTGCCGTATAAAAGAGGTGCCTTAAAAAAAAGGTGCCCTAGTTTCCTTTTGGCCTTTTGGTCTCAGTCTATGTTGTGCTTATATAACAGAATACCTGACCCTGGGTAATTTATAATGAATGGAAATTTATTTCCTCACAGTTTTGGAGGCTAGGAAGTCCAAGGTCAAGGTGCTGGCAGATTAGGGCCCAGTTTCTCTACTGCAAAGATGGCACCTGAAAGCTGCAGCCTCCAGAGATGAAGGACATTATATCTTCACATGGCAGAAAAGGAGGAGAAAGAGAGAATCCACTCCCACCAGCCCTTTTTATAGAGCATTAATCCATTCTTCATGAACTAAACAGGTTTCTCATTTGGCCACACCTCCTAACACTGTTGCATTGGGGAATACGTTTCCAACACTTGGATTTGGGGGAACACGTTGAGACCATAGCACCTTCCATCTCTTCCTCCACATGAGGACACAGTGTTCATTTCTTTATTGCCTCTTCCATTATGTGAGGATTCAGCAAGAGATATCATCTTGGAAGCAGAGAGTAAGCCCTCCCCAGACACAGAATCTTCTGGCACCTTGATCCTGGAATTTCCTGCCTTGAGAACTCTGAGAAATAAATTTCTGCTATGTATAAATTACTTTATCTGTGGTATTTCATTATAGCAGCAAGGACAGACTAAGACACTAGCTTTCTCTAATTTATTCACAGATGACTTTTTGTTGTTTACCAGCTACTGGCTCCATTTTTCTTCATTTGACCTAAAATACTTCTAAACCTAGCTGTCTCAGCTCTTATAAAAACTTGAGCTATGCCTACAGGCATAATTGGCAGTAAACTAATTACTACCAAATAATATTTGGAATGATGTGTCTTTTTGGGTTATCAGAAATGCCCTTCTGATGTTAATAAGAGAATGTCATTTTACCCACAACCCCTGTACATATCATGCACCCCAATTACCTTTACTATCAGATTTATTTCCACTGGAACAGTGTTTTTCAAATTACAGTTCTTAGACTACCAGTATCAGAAAGTTCATGGTGCTATTAAAAATGTCAATTATCAAATCTGTCTCAGCCTTATGGATTAAGAATCTCAGTGTGTAACCTGGTATTCTGTACCTTAAAATGTTCAAGTGCCTAACAAATTTTGAGAGTCACTGTTCGAACATAATTCTCATTCTTTTCTCCTTGCCACACACACCTGTGCCTGAGGGTTTGTTTGGCTACATAACAGAAACATTCTCAGGCTGGCAGAAGCATAAGGACTGATTAGGATTAGGAACTGGTGTTGCAGAATAACTCAGAAACATGTATGTAGCTATTTTGCAGAACGTTTAATAGTCTTGCCTTTAAATTATTTATTCACATGTGAGGAAGTGAGATATTAGAGTCAAGCAATAAAGGCAAATAAGATTTATAAAACAGAAAAGAGAAAAAAATGAATACAACCTAGAAACAATGAAAGTTGTATTTTGGGGGGCAAGTTGATTAAATGGCAGTTAGCAGAGGAGTTTGTTGCCCAGAAGTGAGAGTTTAGCTGTAGAGCAGAAGTGACAGGTTCCTCTGTAGAGTGTTGGCCACTAACCCGCCATCAGCACCTGTATCTTACTCAGATCTAGCCAGTATCATATTTCCTCAGTAGGCTTCCTTGCTGGAAAGCCACTAAAAGTTTCCTTTTTCCATCCATGTGAGGCAGGGAGACTTCTCCCTCTGCTCCTGAGCATTTACTTCCTTCTCTTTTTCTGAGAATCAATTTCACCTTCTCCTTCATGGTGATACAACTCAACATGGCTATCCTTCAGCACAAGTTTATATCACTTTGACTCCACCATCGGGCAGAAATCAATTGTCTTTTTTGAACCTCAAATCCAAATTCTCGGAAAAGATGATTTCCTAGCAGAGTCAGCGTTTCATCATGACTCCAGCAGCAATGGAAAGCAGTTCAGGGTCATATAGTTCAAATACTGCTACAGGGGCTGACATTCGTGGGTTCGAGATATCAATCATCTTAGGAAGAGAGAGCTGGCTTATACCTTAAAAGTATCTATTATAAAATGACACAAACCAGAGAGCCATGCACCCCCAGGGAAGCACATAAAAGCAGTGTATTTGGTGGTGAGTAGTTGAGGTGTGGGAGGTTGAGGTATGGTGGGATAGTGAAAGGTTGGGGGGGAGGAAAGGTTCAAAAATGCCCACGCTTTATGTGAACAGGCTGACTCCTCTTTCTTATCCCCTGAAAATTATTCCTTTTGTAGAATGTATTAAATTTACCTAATTAGAAGAATCACCTAGAATTACTTGTTAAAAGTACGAGATATGAGATCCAAAACCCTACTTGAAGGTAGAGTGAGGAAGGAAATATAAGAAGCCTGTATTTTTAAATTCCATTATGATCCTGCAAAATTAACAAATCACCATTAGATAACCTTTTAAAATACTGCCAGCTACCAACATCGCCCTAAACCTGCTGCCCCCACCAATAACTGAGCCCCTGATAACCACCACAGTCTAGTTTTATGAGATCAATTTGTAAAAAATCCACATGTGAGTGAGTTCATGCAGTAGTTGTCTTTCTGTGCCTGGCTTATTTCACTTAACATAATGTCCTCCAAGTTCATAGATATTGTTGCAAATGGCTAAATAATATTCCACTGTGTATATGTACCACATTTTCTTTATCCACTCATCTATTGATGGACACTTAGGTTGATTCCATAGCTTGGCTATTATGAATAGAGCTGTAATTAACATAGCAGTGCAGAGATATATATCAGTGTCTCTTTGACATACTGATATCATCACAAAAATAATAACTATAAGTGATGCATAGGTTAATTAGATTTAGTCAAACTGTAATCTACATATACTTCAAAACATGATATTTTACATGATACTTACAATTTTACCTGTCAATTTATTTTATTTTATTTTTCTAATTTTTTTTTTTTTGAGACAAAGTCTCACACTGTTGCCCAGGCTGGAGAGCAATGGCACGATCTCAGCTCACTGCAACCTCTGCCTCCCAGGTTCAAGTGATTCTCTGCCTCAGCCTCCCCAGTGGCCACCACACTTGGCTAATTTTTGTATTTTTAATAGAGACAGGGTTTTGCCATGTTGGCCAGGCTGGTATCAAACTCCCGATCTCAGGTAATCTGCCTGCCTCAGCCTCCCAAAGTTCTGAGATTACAGGCGTGAACCACTGTGCCTGGCCTTACCTGTCAATTAAAATAATAATAATAATAATGAAAATAATAATAATAATAATTGGCTAGCTACTTAAAATAGAACATAATTTTGTTTCAGATTCAAAGACGTAAAGTTTGATAGAGATGGGAGGTAGGTAATTTATGTGGGTGAAGCCAGCCAGGTGCTTGTTGTCATGTGGAACGTAAGGACCCATGTCACGAGATAATCTGATTTTGCAAAGAAAGCCAGAAATCTGAACTTGTATGGGAAATTATCTGATTTTTCTAATGGCTTAACTTGTTTTGAAAACTCTGTGAATGCCAAATAAAATGGATTCAAATCATAAACGGCAAGGTTTTGACTTCTGATTGTGAGCTGGCTGCATGAAAATAAATTTCCTGATTTTGCATATGCTAGTTCAGCACCCCAGGAATTCAACTTTCCATTTTAATGCTGGGAAAAAAAATACTATCTTTTCTTTTAAGTTATCTACTACTATAACTCCTCTCAGTCTGGAACGGTCAAGGACTGGTCATGTATTCAAGCAATCTTATTTATTCCTGCAGTTATGTATTAAGTTTTATTTCCTTAATTCAATAAATATTCACTGAGTGCTCAATAACGCACTGTGGAAGACGCTGAAAAACCCCAAGGGGAAAAAATATTCTTCGCCAAATGGAGCTTATAATCTGTGGATAGAAAAGGCACAAAAGGCATGAATTATTACTTCATTTTTTCTGTATTTTAATCATTACTTCATCATATTTAAATGGCTTTGAAGGTTCATCTATATACTGATTCCAGTATTTTCAAGAGCACATCTAATTTGATGAGGATGGAAGATTGTTAATGACTCAGAAGCTGGGAAAATAGGTAGAAACTCAAATGTTGTAAGAAATCACTAGAATGTTTGCATTTTTTCAGAGGTTCACTCCTTCTGTTCTAATACCTGGAGTCCAGCCAGGCACAAAGCAAGCTGGCTGACTACTGCAGAAAGGAATGCTGGAACCTCTCTTGCTGACCTGCTTCCAGAGTTTCCAGCACAGCTAGCCAGAGACTTCCTATAGACAATGAGGAAATTCAAAAACAAAGAATGTAGTAGTTTGGCTATTTCTCTAGGAGCCCTTGGGGATGAGACTGAGCCATTTTCCTGCAGCTGGCTGCAAAGCAGGCCACTGAAAAAGATCAGTATGAAAGAACAAGGCATACTGTTGGTATATGCGTCACTGTGGGCCAGAGCTTTTTGTCATAGGATTCAGTCAAACTCAAAATGCAAGATGAAAGTCATCCTCTTTGGTAACCGTTTTAAAAATAATACATAGAAAAGAAGTGAACAGAACCATGTTTTCCAAAGTCCTGATGCTAAAAATCACAAAATCTTAATAGTTCCTGAGCTGGAAATGTGGACTGCTTGGCCTGGGATCAAGTCTAGAATTTGATGTTCTTGGCAGGTACATCAAGTGGTTAGTATCAGCAGAGAAGCTAAGGAAATACTGAAGTCGAAGGATAAAGGATGATTCCCTCCCTGTAATGGCTTTACTCTGAGTTACCTACTGTGTGTTGTCCTGGGCTTACTTCCAGGCAATTCTCATAGGTTTATGGTTACATGCTGGATTTTGGGATGAGATGATCCTGAGTTTGAATCCAAGCTTTGAGATTATATTGTAAGTTTCTGGGAGGTATTGGGCCAGTTACTTACCTTTTCTGAATATAGGTGTCCTCCTCTGTAAAATGGATTTACAATATTACTAACTGTATAGAGTAGTTGAGAAGCTTAAATGAGAAGAGGCAGGTACGTTTCTCATTACAGAGCTTTAAGGGTTGTTGCACTTTAAAAGCAATTTTACATACTTTATTTCATTTAGCCTTTTTAACAATCATGTGAATGATACGTGATTAACTCAATTTTGTGTACCATAGAACTGAGAAAGAGGAATTTGGAATCGAAAATATCATAACTTAAGATAGTGTGACAAAAATAGTATTCCAGTGTCTACCAACTTGCTTTCTGAACTTGTCTAATTTTAAAGACCGAGAATATTTGAAGGAAACATGCAGCGCAGTTCCTTCATTGTACTGGTGAAGAATCTGAGCTCGATGTGTGAGAGAGAAAGAAGGCCTGCTGGACCAGAACACAGGTTTCTTTACTACCTATCTGCAGCTGTGCCGCTACATTGTAGATGATGCTATTTGTTTTTAAGCATATTCAGTGATATATTAAGTTGCTTCTTTAGATCTTAAAAAAAAAAAAAACAACTCATAAAGTGCCGGGCACGGTGGCTCACACCTGTAATCCCAGCACTTTGGGAGGCCGAGATGGGTGGATCACGAGGTCAGGAGATTGAGACCATTCTGGCTAACACAGTGAAACCCCGTCTCTACTAAAAATACAAAAAAATTAGCCGGGCGTAGTGGCGGGCGCCTGTAGTCCCAGCTACTCAGGAGGCTGAGGCAGGAGAATTGCGTGAACCTGGGAGGCAGAGGTTGCAGTGAGCCGAGATCGCACCTCTGCACTCCAGCCTGGGCGACTAAGCAAGACTCTGTCTCCAAAAAAAAAAAAAAAAAACCTCATAAAGTAACAATTCTATATGCAGCTTATATTAGAGCAGTTTTTCAAAGAACTTTCTAGGACCCAAAATTTTTCTGGGAGCATTTTTAAAAGCCGAATATCTATATATCCATTACAGATCCTTTCTGAAATAGAGTTTTGATCGGGGCATAAAAATTTGCATTTTTATCAGGTTTACCAATACAATATTAAGAATGAGCTAATTAAACCATTCTGTCCTTGGAGACAGAAATTGGGCACTGTCCTTCTTTTGTCTTCCCATCAGTTCCAGCCAGAATTTTAGGCACATACTTTCCACTCAGTTAACTCACTGAATTGAATAGTGGTGGAATCAAATTAAGGTCAAATGTTTTAATTATATAAAAATCTATGAAGCACATGTATAGAGGAATCATTTTCAAAGATATAATTTTTACAATTTACTGTGAATTACAGGCATAATTATCCTGCCAGATATACTTGTCTGCCTAGCAAATATATGTATATATGATACTTGTGAAATTTGATACATACTTCGCATATGTATTATATATAAGAGACAAAGAGGGATAGAGAGAGGAGAAAATTAGCTTTCAGGCCAATTTTGAAGAATGTTATTTTGGATATTAGTCATCTATTGCTGCATAACAAATTGTCACCAAACTTGCTAGCTGAAAAGAAACAGAAGTTTATTTTTTCACACAATTTCTAATCATTATCAATCAAAGCAGCTTAATTAACTGAATGGTTCTGGTCTGGGTCGCTCAGAGGGTTATAGCCAAGATGTCTGTATTTTAACCATATTACCTTGTGTGGGATATGATGAGGCCAGATGTAGATCGAAAAAGAGAAACAGCTGAGCATGATGGATAAGGTGTGAACACTTTGGGAGGCTGAGGTGGGAGGATTGCATGAGCCCAGGAGTTCAAGACCAGCCTGTGCAACATAGTGAAACCTCATCCATAAGAAATATTTTTAAAAAATTATCTGGTCATGGTAGTGTGCACCTGTAGCCCCAGCTGCTGAGGAAGCTGAGGTGGGGAGATCCCTTGAGCCCAAAAGTTAGAGGCTACAGTTAGCTATGATCAGGCCACTGCACTCCAGCCTGGGCAACAGAGTGAGACAATCTCTAAATAATAGTAATAATTTAGAAAGACAGAGGGAGAAACTGGAGGGAGTCCTACAGTTCTGCTATACTCACAGCTCACTGGGGAGAAATAGCAGGCCATGCAGTGCTGTTCACAGAAAGCACTGGGCATTGGTCATGAGGCAGAGGGAGAAAGGGGATTGGTGGGCAAAAGTCCTTATTGTTCTTTCTGGAGGAAGGAGCAGGCCAGGCAGGGTAAGCAGGCTTGTGATCAGGCGGCTTGAGTATGTTCAATGGGCTCTGGTCAGAGGGACTGTTCCTGATTTCCTGGTACTTGGCCCTGAGTGATTAGGGTTGAGGTATAGTGGCACAGATTGTGAGAGCCCAAGAAGGGAGTTGTTTGGGATTTGGACTTACTCTCTCAAGAACAACTGACTGGACACTAGCTAGGGTCTCAAAATGGTTCAGATAGCATTTTAAAAACTATATCACAGCTTGCCAGGCCTACAGTTTTCTTAGGTCTTGAGTGGGGTTGAAGCAACTGCTTTCTATAGGGTTCAACCAGTGGCTGCTGGCATGAAGCCTCTGTTCTTCTTCACATGGACCACTCCCTAAGGCGGCTTGACTGTCCTCACGGTATGACCCCTGAAGTTCTCCAGAATTAGCCTTTCGTGAGAGAGAGCGAGGAGGAAGCTACATTCCTTCGCTGGCCTTGTCTCAGAAGTCACAACCTTTTACTTCCACATTACTCTGTTCCTCAGAAGCAAGACATTCAGTCCAGCACACATATGTTAAGCCACCCCAGCATGATGGTCACTATTCTCTCAAAAAAGAATTGGCAAGGATATTTTCTTCCAGATTAGGGTTCAGGTAGTGCTGATTGGAGAGAAGAAAAAATGTTCAGTTTATTTTTTATTTATTTTGGTCGTTACGGTTTCATTATTTTTTGATATTAAAAAGTCATGGTTGAAGAAAACAAAGGTCATTTCTTTTCATTAATTTCCTATGTGATCATTAGGTAAATTCTAGAATAACATAATCGATTATCACTTTATAAAACCAGGCTGGGTGTAGTGGCTCACACCTGTAATCACATTTTAGGAGGCCAAGGAGGGCAGATCATACGAGGTAAGGCATTTGAGGCCCACCTGAGCAATGTGGTGAAACGTTGTCTCTATTAAAAATACAAAAACTATCTGGGTGTGGTGGCATGTGCCTGTAATCCCAGCTACTTGGGAGGTTGAGGAAGGAGAATCACTTGAACCTGGGAAGTGAAGGTTGCAGTGAGCTGAGATCATGCCACTGCACTCCAGCCTGGGCGACGGAGGGAGATTCTGTCTGAAAATAAATAAATTAAATAATCATCCATGTAATAAAACATTATGGAAAAATATGTAGTTAAACATATTTTTATGTTTATTCATTCATTTATTCAGCAGATTTTATTACAGTTCCTAGTATGTGCCAATCTCAGTGGTTAGCAATGGGTATACAATAGTAAAAAGAAGAACAGGGTTGCAGCTCTCATTGAGTTTATGGTGTAGTGCAGGAAAAAGTTCCATTGACATATTGACACTAATATATATATATAAATAAAAGCTGTGTTAAAGTGAAAAAAAATTATGCTACTTTATGGTAGACAGGAAACGTGGAGGAATAGTTAGAGAAGGCTTGTTGGAGAAAGTGGCAATTTGTCCTTGAGCTAAACTGTGGGAAGGGGTTGAAAAAACTCAGACCTTCCATAATCCATTGAACTTTATATCATATTTTCTAAAAGTTAAGCAATTTCAACTTACAAAGAGATTCTCAATGTTTTGCTACCTCAGGCAAATAATGTTATCCTTTTAAACATCTTTAATATTTTAATCCCCTGTCTCATTAATAGCCTTTTTTATAAATGTGAATATTTTGCTGGACAAATATCGTGGCCTCTTTCAATATATGTTATCAGAAATTCTATAAAATAATTATTTTGACATTTACTAGCTTATAATCACAAGGTCCATTTCTCCCACCGTCAGTGAGTTTGTGGAAAGACACTATTGCTTCCTGAGAGTCATGGGGTGCCATCTTCCCTAGTGGACACAAGGAAAATATGGGAGAGAGCCTTGGTTATACTTACATGTTGATGGAAATTTCTCTTTCTATGGGTTGGGATACCTAGTGTGGTGGTCCAGGCCTTGACCACCAATGGTTCCTACAGTGCAACTATTATACTGGAGACACTTTTGGTTTTTAAAAATCAAACCCATGGTGTGTTTTCCCAGCAAGGGGTGGGGAGAAGTATAAGTTCATGTGGATGGAATAGGAAGGGCAAATGCCTGTAGTGGGAGGGAGGCAGGCTCAGAAGAAAAACAAAAATAATTGGTTATCTAGATAGAAGGAAGGTTAGGATAATGTGATGTGATGGAAGACTAAAGATGTTCAACCATGTAAGAGTTAATACATAGGTTTATATAGTATGGGGTTGTATTAGCTTTCCCATTGTATCTGGATGGAAGCAGCTTAGGATAATGTGACATGATGGAAGACTTAAGATATTTAACCGAGTAAGATCTAATACATAGGTTTATAATCAATCTCATTTTGCCCAGGGTAGTATGGGGTTACAATAGCTTTCCCATCTTAAGTATTGGTAGTGCTTCCTGCCAATCTCAAACGTCTCTTGGTTTGGATGATACATTTTATAATCATGTTATATATGTTAAAGATTTTGGTCTTTGTCTTAACAGTAAGAAGCTGTTAAGGATTTTAAATATAAATTAACATGAATATCAGATTTGTGTTTTGCACATATCTCCCTGTCTATACTATGTAGAATAAATTACCAAGGCACTTCCAAAGAGACTAGTCTATTGCTGTAGTTCTGGCAAGATACGGTGCTTGAATCAGATTGATGGCAGTGAAGATGGATGGATGGGACCTAGTTGGAGAAATGGGCTGTCAACTCTGCACTGTAGTCCTTCCATGAACCTCTCCTAAACTGATGTTACACTCCCCATGACTAGTAAATGCCCTTTACATTCTCTTAAAAACCAGGACCCCACTAGCACAATCAGACATGTTTCTACTTAATCTCTAGAGGATAAATTGTTCTTTTTCCTTGAAAACTAAAATCAATAGACAGGAATTCCCTCATTGTCCAGCTATCAAACCTGCAAGTCTACCTACATCTGCACAAAGCTTCTTTCCTTCTCGGATTACAATATGGGAGGTATCTCTCTTTTTACCTAAAGTCAATAATAAATCCACCTCTGATTTGGATCCTAGAAATTATCTTCTCATCTCTGCACCGCACTCAATCTCCAGATTTTATCCCTTCTCACTATCTTTTTAACCCAAAGCATTCTGGTGTCTCCCCTCACCGTTTCCTGAAAGGGCTTCTTCTGAGGACATCAATGACATCTATGTCATTGAATTCAATAGGACTATTCCAATTCTCATCTTACTTGACCTCTCATCAGCATATGATATTGTTGTTCATTGTACGTCTTTGAAACTGTCATTTACACTGGCCTGTGAACAGTAACTTTCCTAATTTTCACCTCTACCTCCTTTGCAGTCCTTACCTATTGGACCCTCAAAGAGCCTTAAGGCTCCTGGACTGTCTCCCCTTCTCACTCTGTCCTCTCACTATACAATCTTATATATGACCACGTCTTTAACAGCCATCCATAGATTAATTTTCTACTTTTATATGTCGAAATCTGGGTAATCAACTGCCTTTTTAGTAGTACCAATGGAATGTCTCAAAAATCAACCCAAAAACTCAAATGGCCAAACTCAAATTTGCAAATTCCTCTTACTCTAAACCTGATCCATTTCCATTCCCTTGTATTTTGGGAAGTGTCACATACATCCAGTCACATAAGCCAGAATGCCAGAATCTTTTATGCTTCCATTATCTCATAGCTTATCTTTCAAAATGTTCGGCTAGCTCTATTCTCTAAATATTTAAAAGAGTGGTATTTGCTGTACTCTCTGATTTTCTGCAGTAGCAATGAATTGTGTGGGTACAGTCATGGAGAAAGCAGATTATAAAGTCAATCCAAGATTAGGTTTCACCTTGGACACAGTACAAGGAGACTGTGGTATTTGCAGCAGTGCTACTGAAATGATGTTCCATGAATCTATCTGTATACAGAAGGAACTATGAATATGGCAAGCTTCTGTAATGAATTTCTGATGCGGCTGACAAATGATCCTAGAGAAAGAGCTGTACAAGTAAGCTGCAGAAAGAGGAGGTGTTTTGAGAAAACAAGTGTATCAGTCCATTTTTATACTGCTATAAAGAACTGCCCGAGACTGGATAATTGCCTCACACAGTTCGGCGTGGCTGGGGAGGCCTCAGGAAACTTACAATCATGGCAGAAGGCAGAGAGGAAACAAGGCACCTTCTTCAGATCTGATAAGAACTCACCTATCAGGAGAACAGCATGGGAGAAACCACACCATGATTCATATACCTCCACCTGGTCTCTCCCTTGACACATGGAGAGGAGATTATGGGGGTTAAATTCAATATGAGATTTGAGTGGAGACTCAAAGCCTAATCACATCACGATTCTTTCTGTTTCTTATTTTTCTTGCATTCACATTTTTAAATTTCTAGTCAGACTCAGTGCTAAAAATAGGCCAGTGAACCAGAGAACTAAATCCCTTGATGCCTGGGAGGCTTACCTTCATGCAAAGCTAACATACAATACCTACATATACAAAAATATAAGGTTTTATAGCAACAAATAACAGGAAGGTAATAAAGCAGATTAAGAAGCAAAAGAAACACTGAAATGCTAATTTAGAGATCCTTCTTCTGGGTGATATTTGAGCCGGGACCAAAAGAAGTGACAGAATAAGGCAAGAGAATTTCAGTCGATACATCAGCTGAGACACAGGCCTGGAGACAGAAGTGCCTAGTGAGACTGAGGAAAAGCAAGGAAGCCAGTGCACCTGGAAAGCATTTGGAGGATGTGGGGTTGAGGATTTGGAGAAGTAACTAAGGAGCAGATAATGCATGGCCTGCGTCCCTTGGTAAGGATACTAAATTGTGTCCTCGGTGTGTTAGGAAGTTACTAGAGTGCTTTGAGCAGGGGATCAGTAAGATATGAACTATTTCAAAAAAATTTCTCTGACAACTGTGTGAAGAATAAGCTATGAAAAGAGCAGCATCAGGAAAACCCAAGCAGGATGTAGAAATTAGTAATTTTGCATGACGTAAAGGTCCAGAGCATGACCAGAGATGGAGTAGAGGATAAATTCATTGGAATGTGGTGTTCAAGGAGCTTAGAGGCTGTGAAAGTTTCACCCACACAGAAGTGTGCAGGAATTGGATGGGAGTATTTCACCTGTGAGGAGGAATCATGGTGAGGTCCCTAATGAAAACCATGAGGGACAGAATGAATTGAATAGGTAATACCCCAAGAGCTCAAAAACAAAAATAGACAAATGGGACTATATTAAACTAAGAAGCTTCTGCACAGCAAAGGAAACAAGCAACAGAATGAGAAAACAACCTGTTGAATGAGAGAAAATATTTGCCAATTATTCATCTGACAAGGGACTAATATCTAGAATGTACAAGAAACTCAAACAACTCAACAGTAAAAAATCAAATTACTCCATTAAAAAGGACATGGAAAGACGTGTACTTAAAAAGACATAAAAATGTACAGCAGGTATATGAAAAATGCTCCACATTGCTAATCATCAAGGAAATGAAAACCAAATGACAATGAGATATTATCTTACCCTAGTTAGAATGACTATTATCAATAAGACAACAAATAAGAGATGTTAGTGAGGGTGTAAAGAAAACTCTTATACACTATTGGTGTGGATGTAAATTAGTACAACCACTATGGAAAACAATACGGAGACTTCTCAAAAAACTTAAAATAGAACTGCCACATGATTTAGCAATCCCTCTACTATTTATACAAAATAAAAGAAATTAGTATATCAAAGGCATACCTTCATCGACATGTTTATTGAAGCACGATTCACAATCAAGCTAAGTGTCTATCATTGGACAAATGAATAAAGAAAACATGTACATACACAATGGAATAGTATTCAGCCGTAAAAAAGAATGAAATCCTGTCATCTGCAGCAGTGCAGATGGAATTGGAAGTCATTGAGTTAGCTGAAATGAGCCAGGCACAGAAAGACAAATATCACATGTTCTCATTCACGTGGGAGCTAAAAAAGTTGATCTCATAGTGGTGTGGTATAGAATGATAGATACCAGAGGGTGTGTGGTTGGGAAGCGGGCATGAAGAAAGGTTGGTTAATTCGTACAAAAATGTATTAGATAGAAGATATAAGTTCCAATGTTCATAGCAGAGTACAGTGACTATAGTTAGCAATGATGTATTATATATTTCAAAGTGACTGGAAGAGTGGACTTGAAATGTTCTCATTCCACAGAAGTGATATGTACTCCAGGTGATGGATACTCCAAATACCCTGATTTAATCATTAAATATTTTATACATGTAATAAATACATGTACCACATAAATGTATAAAATATTATGTATTAATTTTAAAAGGAATCTTTGATAATAAGTGTGGCACATATTAAACATTAGACTTGAAACATCAAAAATTTAATTCAACTCTGTTTTTTATAAAAAAGATACATCGGTTTAATAACTGCTTTTCTTTAGTAAAAAAAGTTACTTTTAAAAAATGGATCTCAACCTCATGTAAATTAGCTTTTATTGTTCCCTTAAAATCAATTTTTAATACTATTCTTAATGTCATTTAAAGATTTTGTATCTACCATCAAAAGGGGTAGAAATATCAGTTTTAACCAAAAAGATACAAAGACCACCAAAGTTTACTTGTGAAAAGGAAGTCGCCTTTCCCTACAGTGAATTATCATTAACGCCATTGCCAGAACTTAAGGTTTCACATTATGCCTGGGCAATGCTGATGGTAGCTTCCAGTGTTTGCTGGTGAGAGCCTCTGGATCGTGAGGTCCACAAGAGGAAACAAAAGGTTGCATGTGAATTCTACATTTTGAAATTATTTTTTGTGTATCTCTTTTTATAGTTCTCTTTTTGGCAACTTGCAAAACCTCTCTTATTTTTTGTGGAAAAGTAAAGAACATTTACCATGGCAAGAACTTTATAGTAGCAGGGGACCATTTCTTGTGAATTATGCTATTAATTACAGACTTCCTGTGCCTCATGACCAAAAAAAAAAAAAAAGCACTTCTTAAAATGAAGGTAAAATTTGTTATTCTTATCCTTCTTCCTTTAAACTGTCCTTTCTGTGTTAGAAAGTAATTTAAAATTGTGAATTAAAAATGTCTCAAATATATAACTTAAAAATGCTTAGGGGAATTTAAAAACAGATCCAAATAATCATTTCTTTTACATTCATCTAATGAACTTAATTTCCATTATTCACTCCAGATACCTTTATCTTTGCATTTCATACTGCTATGAATAGTATTATTCAATGTGCTTTTAATTTGGACTCGGTTTTCCTTCCTAAGGACATATTATTTTTAAAGCATCAAACTCAGTATAGTTCATAGCTTCAAATATTTTATTCTGGCTTATTTAATTGCTATTTAAAATTTAAAACATTTAGTATGATAAAATTACCAAGACAGCAGCAAAGGGGGAAAATAATTTGCCCATTTTCGATACATATTGTCTTTTTTTTCCTATATAAAAGGCTTGCTAATCTGTAATGTAACTGACTTAAATAACCTTGATATGGTTATATTGTTGATTTAATTATATCACTTGCTCTTGTGAGATTGGGAGTTTTGGATTTCAGTGGGATTAAAATAGATTTGAAAGTTAGGTGAGTTTAAAACAAATTTAAAAAAATATTCAGAAACCCTTGAAGAAAATTATACCCATACATATTTTTTTAAAAAAATTAAGCAAAACTCATTATTTCTAAGATATCTGTGTATTCTGCAACTATATAGATTCTTTGTATTTATAGATTTGATTTTTTAAAAGTGCTTTTGTGTAATTCTGCTATTTGGTTGGGATTCTATCCCTATTTCTTTCAAAAGGGTACAGGTAATGAAATCAAAAGGAAAGCCATCTAAAGTTAAATTTAGTAAATATGAGTCATCCAAATGTTATGTTTTACCTAATCAAAAATAAAAATTAAACATCCATAAATATTTTATATTCTATATATTGTTATGTAATTTACATAATATAAGCATATTTTAAAAATCAAGTTTTATATATATCTATTTGAATCTTTACTTCATTAAAAAAATGACATATTCAAATTACCTCAATTGCTATGACCTTAGTTATAGTATATATATAAAAATCCAGAAGTTCAGAAAGTATTTTATCAGTTCCATAGAAAACTGAAATTATGTTCAAGATACTCTGAAGATCTGGTACTTAGATATTAGATATTTGGACAATTCTCACCTCCACTTACTGGTTACTCTAAATGTTAGCAACTCACTTAGTCCTTCTGTAATGGCTCATAGGAAACCCCCCAGGCACCGGATTTAATTGAATCATTCTGTATGGGAGGTCTTATAGCCACCGCTCTAATGAAAGTCTTACTTTAATTCTGCTGGCCAGTCAGCTGTAGCCAACTGGGCAAGGTTCTAATTGGTCAAAGCGCTATAATTTGTTTGAAGACCCCTCTTAAGACAGGCCTGTATGTGTGCGTCCCTTGCAGGACTTGGGTTATGTAGAAGCCCTAGCACTCTTGCTGATTCTTGATCCTCAAATTTAGAAGAGGAAAGGACCTTAGTGGGTAATGTAAGCTAACTCCTCATTTTGTCCTGGAGAAAAGATCATTGTTTCACTTACTGATTTTAATCTTTTCATCGAATTCAAAAATTCTAAACTATATTATTCTGAGGGCTGCCCTTAAAATATAAAGGATAAAAAACACTGTGAAAAATAGAAAACTTGAGGAATAATAGCAACAGTAAACTTTTAGCTAAGCAACTATTAGGGATTAGGGAGAATCAATACATATGTCATGTAAATAGCACATCACTGGGGTGATCACTGGGGTGAGAGGAGCAGAAAAGGAGAAAAGGACTCGTGGAAGGAATCTTATACCAGACCCTCTCATATCTCATCTCTCCTTAAGTCAAAGCAAGCATGCTGTTGGAAAAAGCCATGAACTCACTTATCATGACATCTTTCATCGTTAATGTTATTAGGGAAAATAAAGGCAAATCTATTATGGAAAATTGTTCCTTTATAGCGAATTGAATTATAAAGTGAGGTTATGCTAATTATTACTATATACGAAATTCCAGAATCATTGTGAAGCTGTTGATTTTTTTTCATAGCAGATCCAATTCTGAACAAGGCAAATCAATTTGCTGTGTGAGTTAAAGAAGAAATTGTCATCTGATTGACACAGCAGTGTTTATTTTTATTTTTATAATACCAGAACTACATTTTGAAAAGAGACAAAAAGGAAGAGACACTGGCAATTTTGCATCCACAATGGCAACTTTGTTTTTTCTCACCATATTGACCAAATGTTTTTGTATTCTCGAGAAACTATCTATATAACTGTGTATTCTAGTCAGATCAGTTAAAACAAAACTACGGTCTGCAAATGTCTGTTAGGGTGGCACAAGGGCAGTTGACTGAGTTGATTTAACGAATACTTATTACAGGCCTAAGATGCTCTAAACAGCATTGTAAATTTGTTATTAATAGATTTAGAGGCAAGATTTGCAAAATGAGTAAGTCCTTGAAAGGTTACTGTCCTTGAAAAAGTCACAATCTATTGAGGAAAGAGAAATAATTACAATATGTGGCAATGGTGTTATGTTAGAAAGCTAGGACTTGAAGTGTTGAGTTAATCATTGTGTTTAGGGACTGAATATAGGTATTATTGTGCATGAGTAAGGATACAAAGATAGTAAATGCAAACACTGAAATTAGTAGTCACTTTTCTTCATTTACAAGATACGAACAGATAACATCTATAATTTCTGCTAGAGAAATTTAAGTAACACATTCTTAAGGACAGAATGTGAGTTAGCTAAAGTAATGTATCGATAAAAGGAAGAAAATGATCAAAAATTATTATTTTGGGACAGAAAGCAGTTGACTAAGCATGATTTATTCACTAATTCATTTTTTCATTCTTGATAAACCTCTTTAGAGACTTCACTTCCAGGGGCCAGATAAGTAAATGTTCTAAGTGCCAAGAGAATATTATAAATGTTTTAAAATAAACTCTGACACACCACCATATGCAAAGATTCCACTTAGCTTTATCAATGGCAATAAAGAAAGAGGAGACAGTGGTACTGACTAGTTCAATGTGTTTTAGGAAAAGTTGAAGTCTAGTTTCCATAGGAATGTTTATAATAATGTTAGATTGTGTGTTGAAAGACTATCACAGGGAATACCAAGTAAAGTATCAGATTAAATACAAATGTCTTATTTGCTCCCACCTGATATTTTACTGGAGTTTAGAAATGGGATTTTTAAAACCACAACAGCAGAAGAACTAAAGAAAATATAAGAAAAAAAAAAAAAAAATTTGAAATATAGAAAATAGGTGACTTACCATACCTGAGAAAGCTGTCAAGTATTTGTCACTGGAAAAACTGAAAACATAGGATTACAGTGCAGTGTCCTGAAAATACCAAGGAATTTGAGCCACCAGATTCATGAGGGAATGGAAATGAAGGTTTCAACATGAGGAGGATGAATTATTTAGGTTGTTGATTAGGTGTTTAAGAAAGGTTAGTTGAAACCTTGTGTTCGGCAAATTGCCTTAGCAAATGGGAAATGGCGTTTTGAAAAAAGACATCTATGGAATAGAACAACGACAAATACCCACCCAGTTTAATTCACTTCTGCAGTGAGTCAAATGCTTCTTGGCTTCATTGAACACAAAACAATTAATATGTCCCTGTCAACCAGCTTTCTAAAAGTATTGTAAGTTTCTATCATTTATGTTAAAATTTGGTATGGTGGCAATGATTTCACATATATTAATAATTGGATTATGGATGAAATTATTTTGCAGGTATTCACAATGGTAGAAATACATAATAATGATTTTTTTGTTTATGGAAATTTGAAAGCACATTTCTTCACACATCCATTCAATAAATATTTACTGTAAATATACTAGGGATTGGGTGATTTGGGGAGATAATGAACTATGTAAATGTGGGCCAGCTTTTCAAATTGCTCTTAGCCTAACTAGGAAGTCAGATGCTAACAATAACTAATACAATATGTGGGGGAAACATCTATTTTGGATGTGCACACATACTTCAGGAACACTGAGGAAGGATAATTGTTTCTTCACGGGAAGGAATTTACGAGAGTGGATTACCAATGCCCTCCAGTCTCTATCCACATCTACCCACAGGCACCAGGCTTCGAACTATACCGGTGATTTACCTGAGAGCTTACCTTTGCTCATCCTGTTCCTATGTTTGGACTGAGCCTTTCACTTGCCTCTTTATAGGATGATGTTATGAAGACTTAGGCTTAAGACTCAGATTGAATATGTGTTGAAAAAATAAAACAAATCAACCCAGAAACAGACCTGTAGTGAAACAAAGGTATGGTATTTTGCATAAGTTAAATTGTTTTCACTATCAGTGTTCTAGAAATTCTTTTTCTGCCTTTAAGATGGAGATTAATGTTGAAGAGAAAAAGATTTTCCTGGATAGAGACTTTTAAGAGGCCCAAGACACTTATGGAGTCCTAGAATTCTAGAGTCCTTAGTGGTAAGGTCATTTGTGTGGTAAAGAGCCATCCGTAGTACAGTGAGGGCATATATTCAAGAAAAATTTAAGAAAGGTGATTTCTTCCCAGGGAGAAAAATGGTGCAAGTCAAAATTCTAGAATTCTGACAAAGATAACAAAGCAACAGGTCATGAATATTCGGTGAAGAAAGTAATTTTAGAGGAAGAGCTGATTTCTGAGGAAAAATAAAAATTTAATTTGGTGATAGTATATGAAAAGGTTGATTATATAGATGAAAACATGTAAATTAATATACTTTTTCAATTTCAAAAAGTGTATAAATTATCTAGATTGGGTGCTTATATTTAGGGGAAAGGAATAATATATACTGCCTATTTATTTATTTATTTTGGAAAAAAATCAGTGAGCATTTTGGGTGTGTTTGTGTGTATCAGATAATTAAATCAGGTAAAATATATTATTGAGGAAAAATAGCACATCATTGAGCCCAATAACCTTGTTAAACTCTGATGTAGAAGTCTGGGAGAAAAAAAGCATAGGTTAAGAGGCAGATTTAATACTATTGGTGTGTGTTTTTATGTACATAAATGATAACTTCCCGACAATTCCTCAAATGTAGGTCTAATGGGTGTGATAAAGCGGGGGGGTAGATATTGCTGAAAGCTACTTTGGTCCTTTGGTTTACTCTGTTATTGGACCACTCCTATTTTACCTGTTTCGTACAAAATGTATCAAGGCTGTGGAAACATTAAGGGTATCAGTCCCCTGTGGACATTGTCAGAAAGAAATGAACAGTAATCTCTCTCTCTCTCTCTTTCCTCTCTGCCTATATTGTGATAAAGAAATATGAGATCATAGATTCTGAAAGATTTAAAAATATATACTTACTGTCATTGTTTATCAAAATGCGAATAAATCAGTCCTTAAACATGTAGTCTTTAACAAATTTAATATGCATATCAGTGCTGAGTAGATTGCTAGGGTGGAGTAACTCCAAACATCATGTGCCTGTGTGTGTGTGTGTGTGTGTGTGTGACCAAAAGGATTCCTGAAAGAGTGTGATTCAGTTTTCCTGAATTCTGTCTTCTGGTACATTCGTTCGCTGGATCCGCAAAACTGAGAATAAGACTCGGGACCATGGTGAAGCCAGCTGCTCTCCTTAGATAAAATTTCTATCTTGTCTCTAACACAGTTTACATAATTTAATTTTTCTAGCAGAGTATTTTTTCTTGATGTGATTTCCACAGAATGTTAAAGCAGAATAGAAATAAAAATGTTTAATGTTTATTCTTAAATTTTATCTTCAAAATGAGTCATAATTGTTTTTGTTTACACCTAGATCTTTGAGGTTCATTGAATTATTGAGGTCTAAGAGTAAATTACAATGCTTATATAAAAGAAGCTTGTTTTTTTGAATCTCTCAGAGCTGACTCTGAGAGACACTAGGGATTAAGGAGGTAACAAACCTAGATATCAAAAAATTAAGAACAGGAAACGAATCAGTTTGAATTATCAGATGAGAGAGAGAGGAAGTCGCCAAGGGAGGAAACAGGAAAAAAGAGGTGATACCAAAGCAGCGATGCTCCACAATAGAGATACGCAGAGAGAGCAGGATCTAAGAGCAGCTTAGCATCTTTTTTGAAATTTTTTAAAATTTCCATAGGTTTTTGGGAAACAGGTCGTGTTTGGTTACATGAATAAGTTCTTTAGTGGTGATTTGTGAGATTTTGGTGCACCCATCACCCGAGCAGTGTACACCATACCCAATTTGTAGTCTTATCTCTCATCCCCGTCCCACCCTTTTCCCCAAGTCCCCAAAGTCCGTCGTATTATTCTTATGCCTTTGTGTCCTCACAACTGAGCTCCCATTTGTCAGTGGGAAGATACAATATTTGGTTTTCCATTCTTGTGTTGCTTCACTTAGAATAATGGTTTACAATTCCATCCAGGTTGCTGCAGATGCAGTTATTTTGTTCCTTTTTATGGCTGAATAGTATATATATATATACACACACACACACATCATAATTTCTTCATCCACTCACTGATTGATGGACATTTGAGCTGGCTCCTTATTTTTTTTGCAATTGCAAATTGTGCTGCTATAAACATGTGTGTGCAAGTATTTCTTTTGTATAATGATTTCTTTTCCTCTGGGTAGACACCCAGTAGTGGGATTGCTGGATCAAATGACAGTTCTACTTTTAGTTATTTAAGGAATCTCCACACTGTTTTCCATAGGGGTTGTACTAGTTTACATTCCTACTCGCAGTGTGAAAGTGTTCCCTTTTCACTGCATCCTCGCCAACATCTATTATTTTTTAATTTTTTGATTATGGCCATTCTTTCATGAGTAAAGTGGTATCACATTGTGGTTTTGATTTGCACTTCCCTGGTAATTAGTGATGTTGAACATTTTTTCATAGGTTTCTTGGCCATTCGTGTATCTTGAAAGTTACAGAGAAATAGTAGCTTTCTCTTGATAGACAAAGACGGAGTGAGAGAGAATTGCTATTTAATTAGAATTATTGATTTTATCCTAATTATTATTTTTATTTTTTCCCAAAGAATACTATCTCTTATTCAGTATTTGTAGATATCTAGGTTGAGTGGTTTTTGACCAAGCAGTAATTGTGAGAAAGAGATAATATTGCAGCTATGGAAGTTGGCAAGGACCTGAAGTACACCACTAGCAATGTCAAAACTGGAATTTATCCATGGTTGGATAATCATGTATGTGAAGTGATTCGGGTGCTAAAAATTTAATATCTGCTGATCTAAACACTAGTATTTTTTAAAAACAAGATTGCATGGCCGGGCGCGGTGGCTCACGCCTGTAATCCCAGCACTTTGGGAGGCCGAGGCGGGCGGATCACGAGGTCAGGAGATCGAGACCATCCCGGCTAAAACGGTGAAACCCCGTCTCTACTAAAAGTACAAAAAATTAGCCGGGCGTAGTGGCGGGCGCCTGTGGTCCCAGCTACTTGGGAGGCTGAGGCAGGAGAATGGCGTGAACCCGGGAGGCGGAGCTTGCAGTGAGCCGAGATCCCGCCACTGCACTCCAGCCTGGGCGACAGAGCGAGACTCCGTCTCAAAAAAAAAAAAAAAAAAAAAAAAAAAAAAAAAAAAAAACAAGATTGCATTTGATAGGGAGTAATTAACTGCGAATAATAAAAATAAAACCCAATCTCCAAAAAAGAATAGTTATGTTGTAGAAATATACAGGACTTTGATTAGAAGATTAGACATATCTTCACTTCATACATTCCTACAGAATCATTTTATAGCTTTAAAAAATTTTATAACAGTTTGTAAAACATTTATTTGTATGCCCATAAGATACAGACAAAAGCTGTAGATGCTCTGTGAATTTTTTTTTCTATTTAGGATGCCAAAGGTAAGAGGTACATGTATTAGTCTTCATTTCCATCAATATCTATTAAGCATCTACTGGGTGTTTTTAGTGTTGGGTTGATGTATAAAATTACCCATGTTAGAAGATACTGAACAAGTGTTAAATCACTTGATAAAAACATCCAGAAAGTTTCATGGAAGCTGGATACTCCAACTTTATTCTAGATGGGCTTCACTTACTTTGATTAAATTGATTCATTAATTTAAACTACTAATCTGTCTGAATTGTTTTCATTGTTGAATGGAAAAGATTTTTGATTAAGTAATTCTAACCATTCAATCATGCATGACAAGTGACATAAATTAGATTTTATATATATAGCATATCTTATTAAATTTTCAATTATAACTACTACTCAATCTGACTACTGCATTATTGATTGTTTTCTGATGTTTCAGAAACACCAGAGACAAGTTATGTCCAATGACTAACTTTTATATTTGTTTAACACTTTTTAAAATAAGATTTAAATGAATTGAATAAAAATATATAGGCCAATTTTGAGTTACAAGACAAATTTAATTTGAAAACTATCTTTGAAAATCAGAATAGTCAGTTTTGTATTTAAAATACATATTCATAATGTATACAGAAATTATTCAATTCACTGTGACAGGACATTTATTTTACAACCATGATTATAAATATTAATTTTAAAATTAATGTACTACTTAAACAAGATACATTCTTGATAGAATTTGAATAGAAGATAGAGATTGCAATATATTAATCTTACATATCCCACTAAGATCAAAGCAGTGATCTGATAAAAAAAAAAGTATTGTAACTCTTTTGACTTGCCCTGTACTTATTTAGAAAAAAAAATCAGTTTTGAAATGCAAAAACCATATAGGTAAAACATTATTACAATCAACTTGCTTGTTGATAACACTGACATCTTGACTAAAAAGATAAAATGTTTCTTATGTCAATTTGGTAGCAATTTTACTCCTGTAGAAAATGGCTGTGACTCACTGGTCATGCCATTATTGAGTATGCAGGGACTTGGTTTTCTCAGCATCCTACAGAATCTTATATGTACCCACTACACTATATCATCTTGATCTAGAGTGCATGAAACATGAAATTTCAGGAACCTATTCAGGATCTGCCCTCCAAAGTTAATGACAAAGTGCAAGTCCTTATGATTCTCACCACTTATAATGATGCATGAAGACTGGCAGGTCACACTGTGTTTGTCCATTTGAGTTACTATAAAGGAACACCTGAGACTGAGTAACGTATAAAGAAATATATTTGGTTTACAGTTCTGCAGGCTGTACATGAACCATACTAACAGCATCTGCTTCTGGTGAGGGCCTCAGAAAGATTGCAATCATGGCAGAAGCCCAAGGGGAACCAGCATATGAGAGAGGGAGAAAGAGAGGGAAACGGGGGAGGTCCCATACTCTTTCATCAACCAGATCTTGAATGAACTAACAGAGTGAGAACTCACTCATTACCATGGATGGGGAGGGCACAAACCTATTCAGGAGGGATCTACCCCCATGACACAAACACCTGACCCCACCTCTGAAACTGGGGAATCACATTTCAACAAGAAATTTGGAGGGGACAAGCATCCAAATTATATCACACTAAATCTTGGAGAAACATTGTATCAGCATTTGATTGTACTACTCCAACCCATTTGTTGCCAAATTAGTAAGCCTATCTATCAGAAAGGCTGAGAGAAAGAGAAGGCTCCTCAGCTGGTCCAAGCTGCAATGTAAGTAGCATAGACACTTGGGCCACTTACACTGGTGGCCCCAGTGTTGCTTGGTGTATCTGTAGTTGCTCAGAAATGCTGTATGGAACCTGAAGCAAAGCAATAGGGTCGCTGCTATGCAGTTGGGATAGGAAAGAGTATGCCATCAAATCAGGGAATTTTAAGGGTGCTTCTCAGTTTTGCCATGTTCAATGCTAACAGTTAATGTAAAACTACAATAACCTTATAAAGGCTGGACAATCATGCACTAAAATATATTAGGGGTAATGAATCCAGAAAGTGGAAATATGGAATGATTGGTGGAAGAGTTAAATTACAAATCACAAGTGTGATTTCCTGAGCCATTGGAGAAATCAGAATGGTGGTTACTATTTATATCTTCTAATTGCTTTGCCATATCATGTATCTACCTATGTACATTAATAAACATCCACCTCACTTTCTTACCCGAATTATTTTATATATGGTATTTGTGAAGTTTATTTTGCCTGAGACTGGAATATTTTGTACTTTCAAATAATATCAACCATGCCATTATTATTTAAAAGTATAAAATATGGGGACTCTGGCAGGTAAAATAAAATTTCAAATTACATTCATGTTACAGAATATCAAAATGCTTATATAACTGAACTAGATGAGGAAGAAATATCATTAGAGATAGAAGCTGATGATTTTGAGGACATTTTGTTTTGGCAAGAATGTGAACTTGTTTTCACATTTATAGGTAAAATTGTATTTTCCTGAGATGGGAGGGTGGAGCCTATTATTTTCATTGTTAGAAAGTTCAAGTATGGAAAAAGGCTGCTTGTTCATATTGAGAAATTTATGACTGGATTATAAAGGCTGGAATGCTTAAAATATGTTCCAATCCTTTTTTGTATTGAGAAATTTCCATATATATCCTGCAGAGAATCTAATAAACTGCATTTCTCAGTTTGCTTTGTCACTAGAATTTACACATGTGACTTTGATTATGCTAAACCAATGTTCCCTTAAAAAACTCAGATTTGCTAGCAAGTTTATGAGGAAATAGGACATGAGGCATCCTTCTTCTGGTATGAAGAAGGTTATCAAAGGTAGCAAGCTCCTGAGGTGATGATGGTAGCCACAGATCCTCCAGAGAGGCAGAGGCAGCAGAGTTCCAAGGTGAGTGACAGCCACAGTCTTTTCCCCGGAGGGTTATGTAGAGTGTGTTTTTTTTTTTGTTGTTGTCGTTTTTTTGTTGTTGTTGTTTTTGTTTTTTTTTTTGTCTCTTAAAACTTCAGGTGAAAATCTATTCCTTCAGTCCTTTAACAATCCAGTAAACTAACTTTCCCTTCCCTCCTTCCTTCCTTCCTTCCTTCCTTTCTTCCTTCCTTTCTTTCCTTTTTCTTCTTTTTTTTTGAGACGGAGTTTCACTGTTGTTACCTAGGCTGGAGTGCAATGGCCCGATCTCAGTTCACTGCAACCTCCACCTCCCAGGTTCAAGCGATTCTCCTGTTTCAGCCTCCCGAGTAGCTGGAATTACAGGCATGTGCCACCACACCCGGCTTATTTTGTATTTTTAGTAGAGACAGGGTTTCTCCATGTTGGTCAGGTTGGTCTCGAACTCCTGACCTCAGGTGATCCGCCCGCCTCGGCCTCCAAAAGTGCTGGGATTACAGGGGTGAGCCACTGCGCCTGGCTTAATCCAGTGAACTTTCTGAAATCTGTTTATAGATTCCTTCTTGCGTACACTAGCTTAGTCTACAAGGATGCACCCTCAATAGTTCTTATTAGTTACTGAACTTGGAGGCAATATTTTTGGTGTCTCTGAATTCCAGTTCCATCATCAGATAAGATGATACATTGATTGGAATCTTGTGTTTTCAGCAGATGTGTGTGGAATTCTCTCGATGTACTTCTGTACATTGGTGATGTTGTATGATTCAGAATTCACATGGCTCACCATCGTCCCTCAAAGTCTCCATTACTTGGTTATCATTACTTACCTAAGACCAAACTTAATGATGCATTTTCATCTTTCACATCCAAATTATGTTAAAACATGTACAGATATAGAACATAAAAGTTAAAAACTTGGACAGAATTAGAGGAAAATTAATTTAGGAAGATAGATGGCTAAAGCAGTTTTCTGCTTTACGTACATTTGTAGATAAGGGCCTAAAAGCTATTGGGGTAGTTAGTGCCAAGCTAAGCATAGACACATACATTTCTGGAAGTTTTATTATTTTTTTCTTACATAAGGTCAAATGAACAATTATGTTCCATCATGTACTTCACTCCCAGATTCTGCTGTTACTGTCCCTTCCCTTGGATGTGCTTAAGGGTGACAGCTGCTAAACTTTATTTCATATTATCAGTTAACTTGTAACTACTCTGTATAATCTATACTATCTAAATAAAAGATTGAGCTTTCCAGGACCATGCTGATATTATTTAAAAGTATAAAATTTCAAGAATTGCACAGGGAAAAAATAAAACAGATATTTAAAAGGTGCAGGCATCATGCTATATCACATTGCAGTGGAAGCAAATGATTATAAATGACCTCCTGTGAGATGTTTAACCTCCCTCAGACACAATTTTCTCTCCTGTGAAAATAGAGGGAGTCATCAATTAATACGTAGGGTAATTACATATGGTAAAGTATAAGAGAGGTGCTCAGCAATATTCTTGGCAATGAGTGAGCATTCTCCAAATGTTAGTTCCCTTATCTAACCCCTCAGAATCAATTAATAGTTTATATATCAATTATGGAAGATGTCAATGTACATAAATAATAACACAACAAAAGGAAGAAATTGATATCAGAATCTTGAAAAGATACCGGCCCTCCCATGTTCTTTGTGGCATTATCTGCAATAGCTAAGATCTAGAAACAACCTAAATATCCATCAGTAAATGAATGGGCAAAGAAAATATGTGTGTGTATTCATGTAAATATAAAATGGAATATTATTCCACAATAAAAATGGCAATCCTCTCATTTGAGACAACACAGATGGGCAGGGAGGACATTATGCTAGGTGAAATAAGTCAGACACAGAAAATCAAATAGCAGATCATCTTGCTTACATGTAAAATCTAAAATAGTCAAACTCGTAGAAGCAGAGAGTACAATGGTGGTTACCAGGATATATGGGCATGGGGGCAAGAATGAAGAAATGATGGTCAAAGGGTACAAAGTTTCAGTTATGCAGGAAAATGAAGTTTGGGTATATATTAATATACATATACAGTATATATTAATAGCATAGTACTTATAGCTAATAATACTATTAGGTTGGTGCAAAAGTAATTGTGATTTTACCATTGAAAGTAATATCAAAAACCTCAATTACTTTTAAGATGGTAGATTTTATGTTAAATATTCTTATCACAAACTAATAATAATAAGGATGGGAGGAAATTTTTGGAGGTGACGGAACTGTCTGTGAATTTCATGGTAGCAATACTTTCATGGATGTGTATATGTGCTTATCCCCTAACTTGTCAAGTTGCAGACATTAAATATGTACAGTGTCTTACATGATAATCATGAGATTAACATGAGATATGAAAGAACATGAGATATGACATTTCTTCTGACCAAATGAAAGACAAAAAAGACTACAGTACAATAAGTCCTGGCTTTCCTATCAAAGAACTGCATCATTTTTGCCAAGTCATGTGCTACACATGCCCTTGATTGGCTTCCCCTTCTGAGAAGTGAAGCATTTCGGCCGTATGATCTCAAAATCCCTTTCTGATTTATGGAATTATATTAATTAATTATATATATATTTATCCATAGTTATTTGGATTTACTTTTCAACATACAAAGGTGTAATTTAATTCTTATATTTGTTTTATAATCTTTAAAACCTAATTTTTGTTATTTGAGATTGTAAAAATTAAGTTTACATTATGTAGCTGAGAAGTAGGTAACTATCTATTCTGTATTACTGTGAGTTAGCCTGAATTTCAAGTAAAAGCATCTTCATTTTTCTTACTTTTTATATACAGCAATATCATCATAGGGTCATTTTGTAATGATCTTTTCAGTTTTCTAGTGCGGTGAAATAATTAGAAATAGAATGAAATTGGCTGGTCATTGCTCACACATTCAAGTAGCTATTCCTTCTGCAAGTATTATCAGTGTAAACCACTGACAGTCTGCTTTAGAGTTGGGGGACAGCCTTACTTTCTTCAGGTAAATTGCAGCTGGCAGACACAAAGTATTTTAACTTCCTGTCTAACTTCTTTTAAAACATGATCTGCATCTGTCCCTATCTTTATGCCATCTCTTATTGTCCCAGAGAATCTTCCCTTTAGTATACACCTTTATCTACAATCTTGCTCAATCACATTTCCTCTGGGACTTCATCAATTTCCTCCTCTCTCTCTAGTAAGAAATTCCAGTGAGTTTGTTAAGAACCTGAATTCAGTCTACCTCTGCCACTGCTAGCTATGTGCACTTGGGCATATTATTTAGAAGTCTGTGTCTGTCCCGGGAGGCAGAGGTTGCGGTGAGCCGAGATTGTGCCATTGCACTACAGCCTGGGCAACAAGAGCAAAATTCCATCTCAAAAAAAAAAAAAAAAAAAAAAAAAAAAAGCTGTGTCTGTGTTTCCTCAGCTGTAAAACAGGATAATAATATAACCTCCCTGGTAAGGCATTTGATGAGCATTAAATGAAATACTTATAAAGTATTTAGAAGAAGACCTTAATAAATATTGGCTCTTATTTTATCTTTGACCTCTCTCTCTACCAGCTACTTATCCTGAACATGTAAATATAGAGCCTCTCCCTCTGTAAAAATTCTCTCTTTTGCTCTTTTTTATTCAACTACTACCTTATTTTTTTCTTTTACTCTCATCTGAGTGTATTAATAGTTTACCTGCATTAGTTTCACCCTATCTATCACAAAATTCTACTAATTTTGCCACCTATTTCTAAAACAAATCCTCTCCTCTCTAGGTCACTGCCCTAACTCATACTTTTATTATCTCTCACCTGTTCTGTGCCAAAAGCCTTATGCCTGCTTTGAAACAGAAGAATGACTTTATTCTAAATAAATATATAATTTAGTAAAAAAGAAAAGCCTTAACAAAACGAAGATATGGCAATACACACTTGCTATGTCAATATTTTAAAATAAATTACAAGGTTTAATTACGTTCTTTGACTAGGAAATTTTAAAAGAAGAAACGTGATGACAAATTCAAATACTGGGAAGCATTCCATGTTAATTGTTTATTTATTGAGCCAGAAGGCAAGCCTGGATGGTCTGATAGAGCTGCTTACTAGAAGGACACAGCCTTTCCAAACTTTTAATGCAATTTGCCCTTGGAACTACAGGAAAGCTTATTTTATTTTGATGTTCCCGCATCCTGTGATGTTTATTTATTTAATAAACAGACCATGGGTTTGGAAACAAAATAATCTATACAATAGAACCCTCTGAACATATTTTGTGACTCTTCAGCCACAGCGTAAAAGTGCTGAAAAAAATAGCATTAACCAGAGAAGGATTTACGAATAGATAAATTCTGATATTATTAATAGTTGTTATAAAGAATAATTTTAATTTATTTTGAAGAGACATCTCTACATCTTGTATAAAATTAATGGCTGTTTCAATATCAGATGTATATTTGGATTTGCAGGTCATCTTAAATTATTTTTTAGACTCACATTATATTTCTATTTATTGGTTCATGAAAAAGTTTATCAAATTAGTGTTCTATATCCCCTGCCTCTGTTTTTCCCATGCATGCATTAACACTTTGAAATATAGATTTATCTTCCAACACTTTAGTAAAATAGCTCTGTTTGTTAAAGTCAGCCATTTAAATTATTGTGTTTTTTGGGTAAGTTATGAGGCTAACTCTCCCTGATTTTATTCTATTTATCCTCTTATTACTTTTTGATTTGTTGATACTGGTTTATTTTCTTCTCATGTTCTCAAAATGAGAGGCAACTCACCAATTGTTTTCTAACATGAAAATTAACATTTTAAAAATTCATTTCATAATACATCATACTAAATGCCATTTCATTCCAATTTTTCAATAAAAACATTTCAATCCTGGAATTGCACACTACAACAAAGTAGATATAAGATGATTAAATTATGAAATCCTAGTAGCTGCAGGCAAGGGTGGAGGGGCAATGAGCAATTTGTATATGCAGGAAGTAATCAAGAGTACATGGATTTCTGCTCAGTGCAGTATCAAGGTCAGGCTCATTTTGGAAACTGTGCCTGACCAAAAGCCAAGAACCATAAAATCAGCCCACCAACAAAGTACCACTCAAGGACAATACTGAAGGAACCGAACCAAAGACAGTAAACAATGCAACAAAACAGAGAGGTATTTAGGAAGATGACAGACTGCTGAAGAAGATGCAGAGCAGAAATGTGAGCCATACTGCAAGCACAAAGAAGCTCTTCCTTGGTAATGAGTAACTGTCAGTGGTCACTGAAGTGTGGGCATTCCGCTTGTATTGTGTTTTTAAGGAGGGAAGCACTTAGAGCTTAAAAGTGCAGCTGATGCCAACTAAAAAACCCATTTGCCCGATACAGCTGAAGACATGGAGAATTTCCAATAATTAATCATAAATATTCTTTTCCAAATAATCTGTTCATTCAGCATTCTCAGTTGGAAACAACAAAATCTACTTTAGCAAGATTGAAATGCAAGTTTTTATTAAAGGAAATGAGGGAGTTCACAGAATTTTCAGGAGGGACAAAGAACCAGGCTTGGTGCTATTCAATTGGAAACAATGGAGCCAGGAGCTGCACCCAAACACATAGGGAGGATGTTCTGCTAAAAACACCACAACTGCCATAGCTCACCGCTGGACGTTGACAAGGATATTGATTGAACATTGGAAGTTCTGCCACAGTCCCAAAGAACTAGACAGCCCCACCACTGTGCTCATCCAAAGATCAGTCCACATGTTGGTGGCTATGATTTTATGCTGCCCCTTCCACATCTAGTTTTCATTTGAGTGCATCTAATTGGTATAACCTAGGCCAAGCACCCACTTACCAGCAACTAGGAAGTGGGAGAAATTTAGTATTTGGAAATCTATTTCAGAAGGATGGGATGTGCATATCAAAATATTTAGGAGATGTGCAAAAGATGCCAGCCAGTAGGAATAACAGAAGGTCACCTAATTCCTGACATAAGAAAATGACCATTCCTGGAAAGTTTATCCATAAAGAGACACGAAAAAGTGGACCAGAAGACAACCTAGAATTGAAAGATCAGCGTAGTCATCATAAACTAGACTAGTGGTCTTCAAACTGGATTGCATGATGAACTCATTTGGAAGGCTTGTTAAAGCACAGATTGCTTGGCACAGGCCCGTAAGTTTCCATTCAGAAGGCCTGGGGTCGGGCAGGAGATTCCACAGTTCTAACAAAGTCTCAGGTAACCTTGATAATGATAGTTCCAGGACCACACCCCGAGAACCCCTGGACTACTACACGATAAGCATTTCCTTGAGTAACTGCTGGTTAAAGTTCTCACAAATTCAGTCTTGATGTTGGATTAAAAGTCAGTTGAAAAAGTACAGGATAAGTAATTCTGTATTTTTTTTAATAAATATACCTGTGTATTACTTTTCAATTAAACATTTTATTATTTATATGAATTC